>NC_000007.14:147943228-148094743 GCF_000001405.40 Homo sapiens | reverse complement strand
AAGAGTGGCTTCTCTTGTGGTCTTCATCTTAGTAATATCACCGTCCATATTATGAAACTTCAGGGTCTCTTCTAAGCCAGAAATCTCATGCCCATGCAAAATCAGGTGCCAAATTCTGTCAATTCCAGCTCCAAAGTCTCTCCAGTCATCCTCTGTTATCTTTTCCCACTGCTTTTGTCTCCCTGACTCTAGTACCACCCCTTCCAGATCATCCTCCGCAGAGCCAACAGGATGATTTAACTAATCTATTAACCAGTTAATCACAGATAATTAGCAACACACATCACAAATCTTGCCAGCAGATTTGCCCCCCATCTGCAAGGACATTCAACTTCTGTCTTCCTTCTTTTCTTCTTAGTCTTAGTTACCAAAAACACTATTATTTGTAAAGAAAATGATGATAAAATATTACAGCTAATATTTGTCTATGTTTAATATGTGTCATTTACTGTGCTATGCACTTACTATGCATTATTCCATATGTTTCACAAAACATTAAAAAATAGATGCTGTCATTATTCTCCTTTGCAGATGAAGCCATTGAGGCTTATAGAGAAATTAAGTAACTTGTTCAAGTCCCCATGGGCAGTAGGAGGGACTTCAGAGAAAGTCCGTCTGAATCTGGAGCCTGTACTCTTACTCCCTTTCTCCACTGCCTAGTTTTATATGGTTTAAGTAATATTAGCCACTGGGTGTGGTGGCTTACACCTGCAATCCCAGCACTTTGGGAGGCCAAGGCAGGCAGATCGCTTGAGCTCAGGAGTTTGAGACCAGCCTGGGCAACATTGCGAAATCCTGTCTCTACAAAAAATACAAAAAATCAGCCAGGTACGGTGGCACTGGCCTGTAGTTACAGCATCTTGGGAGGTTGAGCCTGCGAGGTTGAGGCTGCAGTGAGCTGTGATTGTACCACTGCACCCCAGCCTGGGTGACAGAGTGAGACTCTCTCTCAAAAGAAAGAAAGAAAAAATAATACTATCAAGAGTACTCTTACTATAATACATACATTTAAAATAATTTTCTATGATGGTGGGTGGACAACGGTAATGGGTTTCAGACAATCCACCTACATTCAGTTGCTGATGTGACCTCAGTTGGGTCAGGGTGAATTTGTCATTGTGATGTCTGTAAAACGAAGGTATGTGTAAGGGACAAAATCCATGGCCCCAGCTTCCTGACGTCATGTTTTCCTTTTTCTGCTAACAATCTTTCAAGTGTATTAGCTGTTAATGACTGAGGGACTTTATAGCTCTTCCCATTGTAAATAGATTGGCTAGTTAAGTATTTTCCAAGTATGTTGAACAGAATACTAATTCTAGGGAATGACAATAGTCGTCATATCAGAGAAGGTTTCTACAGTCAAATATGTATGAGAAATGCTGTATTAAAAATGTAAAAATGTTAAACACATTTCTTTACTGCAAGAGTCACGTACATTGTGATTTTCCGAAAGGAGTATATAGCCGGTGTTGATGCACATATATGATCACAAGGCTCTATTTATTATTATTTTTTCTAGCTTTCCTTTTTAAAAAAATTTAATTTTTTTTTTTTTTAGCAGAGCTCTCAGATATATCTATTTGGGAAATGCTGTATCAAACAGCTATCTGGTATTTCTGTTCACACAGACTCAATCTTTGGTTTAAAGCATGTGGACTGTGCTATTTATTTTTATCTAAACCCTATATATATTATAAAGGAGCATCATTTTCTTTTATTCTATTTAGAAAGTATGATAACTGGAACAAATTGCTGTGCTGAAGAAGAAGATGTGGGGGATTATCAACTAAACTGTTTATCTGTGTTGTCAGAAGGCAGGCACCTGGACCAAAGCTTTGTGGTTGTTTTTTTTTTTTTTTTTTTTAAATTGAGACTGTGTGTCTTTCTTCTTTGCAACCCTCTTTGCATGTCTAATAAATCATTTTCATACTTTAAACAAGCTCTTTAATTGGCTGGGACAGAAGCTGCTTTCTGTCGTCCTCTTCCTCTAATGTTAATCAAAGCATTTATAGTAGCAGCAACCCCAGCGTTACTAAATTATGTCTTCTTGAGAGATTGGAGGTACATCGAGAGAACAAAAGCTGGGCATGCTCACCATGGAGGATTTTTAAATCACAGTAAAATGTTTTGAAGTTCTTTTCTTACTCAAAACCACTAGGCTTCGGACTAGCCAGTGAAGCCTCTAACCCCCAGCAGGGCAGGAGGTGCTGGTTCACTCAGAGCCCCTAGACTTTCCTTTAAGTTCCTAAGTGCATTTGATCCATGGTCCCAATGGGGCACCTGCTTCCATTTCTTCATCCATCCAAGGCAAGAACAAAACACAACCAGCCTCTCCATTTTTTCAGGGAAGCTTTAGAGCTCTCCTGGCCTGTTGCCCTTCTGGAATCATGCCACTCATTAAGATGGAAACACTTGATGCATATTCCTGTGTGGATTGATGTAT
Source organism: Homo sapiens (assembly GCF_000001405.40). Lineage (NCBI taxonomy): Eukaryota > Metazoa > Chordata > Mammalia > Primates > Hominidae > Homo > Homo sapiens. The sequence continues at coordinate 148,092,300 of NC_000007.14, read as the reverse complement.
GATTCCCCAGACTAGATAGAAAACAAGGACTTTCCCCTCCCATCAAACACAATGTAACATTCTGCTTTTGTTGGTCAACATTTAACCAACAAATGTCGTGGAAGAATTAGGAAACCTGCTCCCCCAAGGAAATAAAGCAGACTGGGTTTCCAGGTCCAGGCCAGAGACTTATGCAAGCTTTCTCTGCTTTCCTTACATGAGTGTATTTGATCTTCAGTTAAATCACTGGCAAAATAAGACTTCCAGGCCACTTCGGAGCTATTAACACATGTCTGCCTCCTTCCTCGTTTTTGGATCTGTGATGGGAATTTCAGCAAATTACCTCCTTCCTGATAACTATAAATTCTTTATTTTCATGTCTCTGGAACCCGAGGGAAGTTGTTTTATCTGGATCCTGTGCCTCTTGGCCTAGTCTTTTAACTTCTTCATGTCATAAATACATCAATTTCCAAGCAGTCAGGGAAGGTTTTCCTCCTTCTCCCACTACACTGCTGGATTCTCTTTTGCTTGTAGTATCTTTGAGGCTACAGTCTGACCCATGGAGATGTTCCATGGAAACAGTTCAATATAAGATGTAACAGACATGCTGATAAATGGTATGTATTGAAGTCACTTAAGATGAAGACTATAAAAAGAATGAAGAAAGAATACTTCTCAGCTTTGGATGTTCTTTATGTTTTCATGTATCATAAATAATTTTTCCTTAGAATAACAAACATTGCTATTTGTTGACATTTTTTAATCTAAAGAAAAATTGCCTTTTTAATTCATGATTTTGTCCCATATGCATCGCCTTCTCTGGACCATACATCAGCCAAATCAGGTAGCTTCATCCTTACTTCATTACTTATCAGCTTTGAGAGCTGGGATATTTATTCCAAAAGGAAGGTGTAAATTTTTAAAAATTAAAAACTATTTGATTGACAAGTAAAAATTGTATATATGTATGGTGTACAACATGATGTTTTGAGATTATATACATATACACATGTACATACACAGTACACATTGTAGAATGGCTAAATAAAGGTATTTAACACATGCGTTATCTGAAAAATTTATCTTTTTTTGTAATGGAAACATAAAATCCACTCTCATAGCAATTTTCATATACACAATATGTTGTCATTAGCTGTAGTCACTATGATGTACAATAGATCTCTTGAAATTACTCCTTTTGTCTAATTGAAATGTTGTGTCCTTTGGCTAAGATCTACCTAATCCCACCACCTCCCAGTCTCTGTGGTAACCACTATTTTACTCTTTGTTCCAATTACTTCAACTTTTTTACCCTCCACATGTAAGTGGGATCATAGGATACTTGATTTGTGCCTAGTTTATTTTATGTAACATAATGGTCTCCAGGTACATCCATATGGCTGGATTTCCTTCTTTTTGAAGCTTCCATCATGTATATATACCATATTTTCTTTACCTGTTCATCTGTTGATGGGCACTTGAGTCCAGATCTTAGCGATTGTGAATAATGCTGCGGTAAACATAGGAGTGCACTTATCTCTTCTACATACTAATTTCATTTCCTTTGGATATGTAGCCAATAGTGGGATTGCTGGATCATATGGTAGCTCTATTTTTAATTTTTTGAGGAACCTCCATACTGTTTACCCTAATGGTTGTACTAATTTACATTTCTACCAACAATGTGTAATGGTTCCCTCTTCACATTCTCACCAACACTTGTTGTCTTTTATCATTTTGATAATGGCCATTCTAAGAGGTTTGAGGTGGTATCTTATGGTTTTAATTTGCATTTCCCTGATTAGTGATATTAAACCTTTTAAATATATTTGTTGGCACATGTATGCCTTCTTTTGAGAAACATCTACTCAGGTCCTTTGTCCATTTTTAAATCAAGTTATTTGTTTTCTTACTACTGAATTATTTGAATTCCTTATACCTTTTGGACACTAATCCCTTATCAGAGGTATGGTTTGTGAATACATCCTCTCATTCCATAGGTTGTCTCTTCAGTCTGTTGGATTGTTTCCTTTGTTGTGCAGAAGCTTTTTAGTTTGATGTCATTCCATTTGTCTATTTTGGCTTTTGCTGCTTGTGCTTTTGGGGTCATAGCCAAAAAATCTTTTCCCAGACCAGTATCATAGAGCATTTTCCCTATGTTTTGTTCTAGTAGCTTTACAGTTTCAGGTGTCACATTTAAGTCTTTAATTCATTTGGAATTGATTTTTGTATATGGTGTAAAATGAGAGCCTAGTTTCACACTTCTATGTATGGATATACATTCTTGAAGAGACTGTCCTTTCCCCATAATTTTGGCACCTTTGTCAAAAACCTATTTACCATAAATGCATTAATTTATTTCTGGGGTCTTTATTCTGTTCCATTGGTATATGTGTCTGTATTTATGCTAGTCTATGCTGTTTTTATTACTATAGCTTTGTGGTAGGTTTTAAAATCAGGTCATGTGATATCTCTCTGTTGCTTAAAATTGCTTTAGCTATTTAGGGTCTTTTGTGGTTCCATACGAATTTTAGGATTACTTTTCCTATTGCTGTAAAAAATGTTATTGGAATTTTTATAGGCATTATGTTAAATCTGTAGATCACTTTGGGTAGTACTGAATTCTTAACAATATTCTTCAAATTCATGAAAATGGGATATCTTTCCACTTACTTGTGTTCTTCAATTTCTTTCCTCAATGTTTTATAAATTTCATTATAAACTTTTACCTCCTTGGTTAAATTTTTCTTAAGTATTTCTTTTTTAGTATTGTAAATGAAATTGTTTTCTTTATTTCCTTTTTGGATAATTCATGTTAATATATAGAAATGCTGTTGATTTTTGTATGTTGATTTTGTATCCTACAACTTTAGTGAATTCATTTTTAGTTCTAACAGTTTTTTCATGGAGTCTTTATGATTTACTACATATAAGATCATGTCATCTGCAAACAGAGACAATTTAACTTTTTCCTTTCCAATTTGGATGCCTTTATTTCTTTCTCTTGCCTAACTGTTCTGGCTAGTACTTCTAGTACTATGTTGAATAAACATGGCAAGAGTGGGCATCCTTGTCTTCTTCCTAATCTTAGAGGAAGAGCTTTCAACTTTTCTCAATTGAATATGATGTCAGCTATGGGCTTGTTGTATGTGCTCTTTATTGTGTTGAGATACATTTATTCTGTACCTAATTTGCTGAGTGTTTGTTTCATGAAAGAAAGTTAAATTTTGTCAAATGACTTTTCTGCATCTATTGAGATGATCATATGGGTTTTGTCCTTCATTCTGCTAATGTGGTGCATCATATTAATTATTGTATATTGAACCATCCTTGCATCTCTGGGATAAATCCCACCTGACCATGATGAATGATTCTTTTAGTATGCTGTTGAATTCAGTTTGCTAGTATTTTGTTGAGGGTTTTTGCATCTATATTCATTAGGAATATGGGCATGTAATTTTTTTTCTTGTGGTGCTTTTTCTGGCTTTGTTATCAGGGTAATGCTGGCCTGGTAAAATGAGTTTGAGAATGTTTCTTCATCTTCATTTTTTGGTAAAAGTTTGCAAAAAATTGGTATTTTATCCTTTAAATGTTTGGTAGAATTCAGCAGTAAAGCTATCAGGTCTTGGGATTTTCTTTGATAGGAGGCTTTTTATTGATTTAATTTCCTCACTCATTAATGGTTTGTTTAGATTTTCTGTTTCATCATGATTCAGTTTTGGTGGGTTCTATGAGACTAAGAATTTATTCTTTTTTTAGCTTATTCAATGTGTGCTGTGTAATTGTTCATAACAGTTTCTTGTGATCCTTTGGATTTCTGTGGTATAGGTTATGATGTCTCCTCTTTCATTTCTGGTTTCATTTATTTGAGTCTTCTCTTTTTTTTTCTTAGTCTAGCCAAAATTTTATTGATTTTGTTTATTTTTTTCCAGAAAACCAACTTGTAGTTTTGTTGATCTTTTCTGTTTTTAAGTTTCTATTTCATTGATTGCTGCTCTAATCTTTGTTTCCTTCCATCTAGTAACTTTGGGTTTATTGGAGAGGTTGTAGATTTTATTAAGGGTTTGAAGTAGCTGATTCATACAAATATAAAAACTAAAGAAATATCAATGAAGGTCATAGTTTATACTAATTCATTGGAGGTGGGAAAGCAAAATGCAAAACATATTGACCATCAGTGCTAGATACAAGGATTCAACTTGCTGCTGGAAATAGCATGTGTGCTATTGCACACATGCATTTTGTGAAAGTATACATGGTTTGGAACCCTACAGAACTAGGCATAAGAAATCTTTCCAAATAATTCCCCTAAGCAGAAAGAAGAGGGTCAAATATTTCAATTCCAAAATAAAAGTTTTCATTTTCAATAAAATCACATAATTTGAGAAAAGTAGAGCATAGCAATATATAATCTTATTTGGAAAAAATTACTGTGAGCTTATGACATTAAAATAACTTGTATTTTCCATCTCTGACATTAGTAAATATAGTTAAGCAGCAGCACTGGTTTTACTTACCATCAACTCTCCTGTTTATCCCTAGTTCCCAGATTTTGGACTTTAATAGTATTCTCTACTACTCTTTACTACTTATGGTAGGGAAGCTGATTCCATGTTTTGGGGCAGTAAAACAAAACAAATTGGAATGAGTCTGGGACATCTTGTTATTGCTAGAAAACAAATATGTTTTTAAGAATGTTGGAGACTGTACTAAAACACTAAAAAATCAATGGAGTCAAGTTAAAGAGATTCCTGCTGATCAAATTTCGATGATTTGATGAGAGAGAGGGAGAAAGTGAGCATGAATTATGGTTGACTGAAAGAAGTTGGGTCTAGTCTGAAAGGTCATTAGCTTAAAATGATGCTTGAGAGAGAAAAGTTAATATAAGCCATATAAAAAGATAGTTATAATTTAAAGAAGGGTAAATGAAATAGGGTATGTTTAATGGGGATTTAATATATGTGGGTATTTTATTTCCTATGAAAACAAATTTATATTCCTTACTATATAGTCGCTATAGTGGGTAGTACAATAGACACAAAAATAGGAAGTCAAGTTTCCCTTAAAACTTAGTATCATAATGAAATCAGAAAGACTAACAACATGGGGCCCCACATAATAACTGGATAGGAATGAAGACTAGCATTTTATTGGTACCAGTGACCACGCTGTAGAAAGAAATCAATGGTGATCTCAAAAATGATAGTTCGGGCACGTGTTCTGAGGAGGAGGACTGAAAGGTAGACTCAATGCATTATCTCCTAGGAGGAAATTCTTCAATGGCCCTAATAATCTTAATAAACTATTTTTTTAAATTTCCAAGAAGGTATTCCAACAGGCCAAGTCTATATATCACAACGATGGGATAATGAAATGGGATTTGCAACACTGCTCAAATCAGTTGTGAAGACATCATGGTAGTAACGCACCATTGTAAAAATAAAAAAAAACAATTTGATATATGTGGATTTAAGTGCAGCTTAATCTGATGATGACTGGCTAGTGTCTGAATCTCCTTAGACACCTGGATCTGTGTCCTCACCAAGAATCAGCTGGATCCTGACACAGATCCTGCAGTTGGCTGCTCTCAGGTAGTTAGTTTTCATTTGGATATGGTAATATTTTTGAACCCTAAGAAGCTATAAAAATAGAAAAATAGCTGATATGTTAAGAATATAACCCAGGAAAAGACTAAGAAGAAAAATGTGAGTCCGGACAAGGGTCACATTCACTATATTAGCACATTTATAACTGATTTTAATCTAAAAATACTGATTACCTTTGTATTTACAACAATTTTGTGAGAGTTTTGCATATTGAAATGCATTTAAAATATTTAGGAAAATTAGATACATCAAAATTTTTATTTCAATGAAATGCTTAGAGACATTGTGATCAATATTTCAGTGTTTGGAAAATTTAATTTGTTGGAGCACTAGTTTTTGATTGTTAGTTGCATTGAGTAGATAAGTAACCTATAGATACTTGAGAAATGTTGATACTTTTGTTTAAATAAATGTATATTATTTAATTCATAAAACTAAAAAATGGGCATTAAAGAAAGTGCAAAGAGAAGTGTTTCTAAAAGCAAAAGAGGTCTTTCTAAAACCCCTTTGTCATCAATTATCATAACTATCAATTATCATAAGGACATAGTTTCAAATCCCCCTCAACACACCAAGTAATTGTGCTCAATTTCTAGTTGGGCAAACTAAACTTCCTGAGACTCCTTTTTCTTCTGTGTATTACATCTGAAGGTTGTTTCATAAGAAAATAAGACATTTAATAATTTAAGAGAGACAGATCTAGGCTTAGAACTGGTAAAAAGTAGAAATTCAATAAATGCAATAGAAAGGTGACTGAAAATTTAATATGGCAGAATAACTTGATTGAAAAATGGTTGTCTGTGTCATAGTATCATTTCCTTCATTTAATTGGTTATAAGGCCAGGCTTGGTGGCTCACACCTGCTATCCCAACACTTGGGAGGCCAAGGTGGGAGGATCACCCAGGAGTTCGAGGCTGAAGTGTGCCATGTTCATGCCACTGCACTCCAGCCTGGGCAACAGAGCAAGACAGACTGACAGGAAGGAAGGAGGGAAGGAAGGAAGGAAGGAAGGAAGGAAGGGAAAGAGAAAAAAGAAAGGAAGAAAGAATATATTTAATCATAGAAGATTCTCAGATTGTCAAAATTTCAAAATTATAAAATGAATGAAAATTTGATTAAAAGTTCAGAAATCACGGTACTAACTAATAATCTTTTCAATTTGGGAGCTGAAAAACACGGGTATTCTTTTAAAATTAGTTCAGATACAGCACTTAGAGGGGTTAGTCAATTGGTGTATATGTAATATGTATGTATATATGTATATTTAATAGAAGAGATTTTACAAGGCCTTTAAACTTGTGAGAATAAAAAACTATTTTGAAAAGCTATGTTGATGCTTAACAACCCAAGCTATATCCTTATAAAATAGAAAAATTCACATTTGAAGCTCAATCCTTAAGAATCATCATTTTTCTCATAAAATTTTCTGAGCTTTATATAATAGCCCTAGGCAGGAACACATCTGACTTGTACTGAATTTTTAGACCTCGATGTATTTACATAAATAATCCAAAGGGAAATAGGTTGTTTCCAACAGCTTTAATTAGTTTTCCATATATATAGGTCATAACTGGGTTTTACTTAGATATTACATTTAGTAATGGCTGTTAAATATAAATTGAGTGTGTACCTGGGAGCATTAATTCATAGACATCTCACAAAGAATATGGAACATCAACACAGCTTTCCCATTACTCAAACTTTTATCACTAGCCTGAAATTGACCGACTAAATGACTGTCGTGGGTAACACATAATGCTGTAAAACTTATTACAGAATAAAAAGCTTGAGGGATCATTGGAGTGTTTAACATCAGGACTGGCTTGTTTTCCCATTACACTTGATAAAAGAACCAGCCAAATTGCCTTGAATGAAACTTTATTAAACAAACAATGTCAGTTCTATACCTATGCACTCCTCTAGGAGAGTGTGGATTATTTTGATCATAATAAGAGCACTTCCCAGCCCTTCCTCATGATTTCTCTGGACAAGAGACCCAAATGATTAGCATGTAAATGACCTGTCATATTATTAAATTGTTATTGCAGTGAATTAATACAATTAAGCAAGTAATATAATTTCAGTGCAATCTTCTTTACATTAAAATGCCATTCCCTTCTTTCTTCCTGTCTAGCATAGCAAAAAAGAGGAAAGAAAAAAGAAAGAAAGAAAAAAGGAAGAAAGAAAAGATAATGATTTTAAAGAATTTTCAGCAAAGAATTATATTCAAGGTCTGAGAGCCACAAGAGTCTAAAGATAAAAGAAGAGAAAAATGCTCTGGGCTTCCGACCTGTGACATTCTGCACAGTCCCGGGGCAGAGAGCCAAGCCTCTACTGTTTTGCTGCCAGGGAGTTTAATAGAAAGATCTGCTCTTTGATCACTGTGTGGGATTCTGTGACTGAGGAAGAGCCCTGGCCCCTCTCCTAGCACCACCAAAGCCTCTGTAAAACTCTTATGTGGCTTCCACCAGGTGGCAGCAGGAAACAAGGTTTGCACAAAAATTGATGTCTTGGTCTAGAGTAATGAACGCATTAAAAGAAAAATGAATTGCCACAGTCCTGTGAGAATTCATATTAACAAACTCTGCTTTAAGAAAATAAAGTCTCCTGTGAAAATTTTTCTCAAGTGTGAGTTGTTGCAGCAAAAGAGAAATTTCAACTTTCAGGGGATCTTAAAATCAGAATGTAACATTTTGGAAACAGACGGATCTGTGATACTACATCTATGGTCACCTACGGAGTGTCAGATCCTGGTTTAAAAAGCACTGGCTTAAATGGTAAGGAAAGAAGGTATTTTTTTCTCTTTCCCTCTTAAGAAAACAAGTGCAATTCATGGAGACTCTTAGTTATGTAATTTCTAGAAATTAACACAAGTGACAGATAAAGGATTTGCTGAGTACACAGTAGGTATTCATTAAGTAATTGTATTTCTTTCTGCACTTTTGCAGAAAGTGTGAGTCTCCAAAGACTCCTGCGTCCCCAGAGACTTCTGAGAGGCTCTAGAGATAAGTCACATAACTGCCAAGCTTGAATGTTCTAAGAAATAAACATTATCAACCTCTTCCTTCAAATGCCAGTATTTTATTTCATGCATAAAAGGAAAGGTATGCAGAATGTTTGAATGTTTCTGCCCTTGGTGGAAATAGGGACTGCTAGTCTCTTCAGGGAGTAAAACATGTAAATCTCAGTCCACTTTCTCCTCTCTGCCTCTGGTTTCAGTCACCTTCTCTTCCACATGCTAACCTACCTGTGACTCCTAATTCTTCACTCCCACCCTCGGAATGTGCATCATTCCTGCCTCGTTTTCTCCCTTACAAATGTGTTCATGCTATGAAGGGAACCGAAGTGGAGTCAGAAGAAACCCACTGCCCCCCACTCTGCAACCTTATGTCATTTCTCTAATGTTATTATGAAAGGTAACTGAGAAAATGTCAGTGTCAGCCATAAATTATCATGTGCATTTAAGAAAATCATTATTTTTGAGCGTCTTCCTATGTTGCTTTCCTTCTGCTTTCAGGTATCTCCCATCTCGACAAAGCAACACAACAAAGCAATGGGATAAATCTGCTGTCCCCTTAGGGTGCAGATCCTCTTCATCCACTGATCTGGAGTGGACAGTATACACCAGTGTCCTGTATACCCTCTTTATTTCCCCTTGTCTTTTATAATGTGACTGTCCCAGAATCTAAAGCTAATGAAGTGCATTCTCTACAACCACCAAGAGAATCCCAAAGTTCAGGCCGGGTGCAGTGGGTCACGCCTGTAATCTCAGCACTTTGGGAGGCAGAGGCAGGTGGATCACGAGGTCAAGAGATCGACACCAGCCTGGCCAACATGGTGAAACCTCATCTCTACTAAAAATACAAAAATTAGCTGGGCGTGGTGGCACACACCTGTAGTCCCAGCTATTTGGGAGGCTGAGGCAGGAGAATTGCTTGAACGCAGGAGGTGGAGGTTGCAATAAGCTGAGATGGTGCCATTGCACTCCACGCTGGTGACAGAGTGAGACTCTGTCACAAAACAAAAAAAAAGAAAGAAAATCTCAAACTTCAAATCCAATGGCCTTTCCTTGGTCCTCATTCTCTTTGCTTTCTCCTTAAACCTGCGAATCCCCCACCTCCCTGAAGCTCTCTCTCTTGACTTTCATACCACAATGAGCGTCCTGGTTCTCTTCCACATCAGCTTTATTTGATGCCTTTTGCGTCTCTGACCACACTCCTCCTCTATCTCCTTCCCTAGCCTCGCCTCATATGCCTTTGCTGTGGATATTACAAGAGATGCAATCAATAAGTGTTCCCTCCAAGTTGCTCCTCCCATAACTCATAAGAGAAAAACCTCACTAGCTTGGATTTTCCCCTGGGCTTCAGTCTAGCGTCCTCAGTTTCTGGGTGTTCACTGGATGCCCTTCAGCCCTTGTCATCTGGGCCAAAATACAAGTATTGTTCTAGTTCTGTTGGTCCCAACCCTGACTTAACCCTTTTAGCTTTTATCCACAGCCACTCAGTTCCACTGTTGTGATTCTTATTTTGAAATGGCTCATATATCTCTTCCATTCATTCATCTCTTCCTTTCATTCTATTCCTACTGCAATGCCCTTCTTTAAAAGCCGGCCTGATGACTCCCACCTGTAATCCCAGTGCTTTGGGAGGCCAAGGCAGGAGAATCCCTTGAGCCCAGAAGTTCAAGACCGGCCTGAGCAATGTAGTAAGACTCCCATATCTATAAAACATTTAAAAAATTAAAAAAAACAAGCAAACAAAACAATGCCCTTCTCTATGCTTACTCCATCTATCAGCCTATATCTGGTTACTCGCCTTTCCATAACCAACTCCTCCAATCTTGCTCTCGCAAGCCCACTTTCTCACATACATTCATGCCATGAAGTCTTCCCAAATCACTGTCATTTATCATATGCTCGGGAAAAATTACTACCCCCTCAGGCCTCAGTTTCCTGGAGACATGTTTCTTCTCCTTGCCATTCATCCTCCTCTGAGGCTTAGTTCAGATATCCTCTCCTCTCTGTTAGTCAGGGTTCTCTAGAGGGACAGAACTAATAAAATAGATATATATATGGAAATTTATTAAATATTAACTCACATGATTACAATAGGCCATCCGCAAGCTGAAGAGCAAAGAGAGCCAGTCCAATCCCAAAACTGAAGAACCAGGGGTCCAATGTTTGAGGGCAGGAAGCATCAAGCATGGGAGAAAGAGGTAGGCTGGGAGGCTAGGCCAGTCTAGTCTTTTCAAGGTTTTTCTGCCTGCTTTATATTCTAGCCGTGCTGGCAGCCGATTAGATGGTGCCCACCCAGATTAAGGGTGGGTCGGCCTTTTGCAGCCCACGGACTCAAATGTTAATCTCCTTTGGCAACACTCTCACATACACACCCAAGATCAATACTTTGCATCCTTCAATCCAATCACGTTGACACTCAGTATTAACTATCACACCCTCCATGAAGCTTTCTCAGGTCCCCCTCACCCAATAAAAAAATCACACTTTGGAATAGAATAGCCCTTACTTTTCCAGTACACAGTGGCCTACTATGAATTGCATCATTTTGCTTAAGATACTAACTTCTTCACATGTTTCTTTGTCATTGAGATTTTACATTTCTTTAGGGAAGTCTGTGCGTCTTATCCTTGTTTCCATTGCAGTACTTAGCAGATGCATGATATAAATGCTCAACACATAAAGATATACCATCTGTATGCACGGTTTCCACCTATGCCTTGAGTCTCCTTTATTCTTTCCTCCCCGTCTCTAACACCTAAGAATCCATCCACATACATATTTTTGTGAAAGAATACAATGAAAATAGCTGTATGATGAGGACAATTCACACAGCTTTGAGAATGCACTTCCTCATCTGCAAACAAGATCCCCACGTATGTTGACATTTGAGATTTGTTTCCTCACATTTCCCCCCCTGCTCTATAATTTTGATCACTGATACCAGTAAAAGTGTTCCTAGATAAAATATGCATTGCATAGTGAAGGTCTAAATTAAACAGTTTTTGGATTATTACCATTCTTTGGCAAGGCATAGGTAGGTAGTGCATCAGGCTTTATCAGTTTTCTTTTCTTTTCTTTTTTTTTTTTTTTTTTTGAGATGGAGTCTTGCTCTGTTGCCCAGGCTGGAGTGCAGTGGTGCAATCTCGGCTCGCTGCAAGCTCTGTCTCCCAGGTTTATGCCATTCTCCTGCCTCAGTCTCCTGAGTAGCTGGGACTACAGGCGCCGCCACCACGCCAGGCTAATTTTGTTGTATTTTTAGTAGAGATGGGGCTTCACCGTGTTAGCCAGGACGGTCTCGATCTCCTGACCTCGTGATCCGCCTGCCTCAGCCTCCCAAAGTGCTGGGATTACAGGCTTGAGCCACCGTGCCCGGCCGCTTTATCAGTTTTCTTAGGGGCATTTACACCAAAAGCTGATCACTTGAATGGATAAGTTTATCAGTCAGGATGAGCTGGGCTTTGCTGCAGGACAAACAACCCTGACATCTTAGTGGCTTAACAAGGCAAATGTTTATTTCTTGCATCTGCTATATGCTCATTGTAAGACAGGCTCCCCACTATGTCATCTTTACTCTGGGGTGCAGGATGAAGCTGACAGAACCACAATCAACCTGGAGTGTTGCTGTTTGCAGTGATGGCTGACTCTCATAGGGAGACAACTTGGTGAACTGCACATTAGCTCTTAGAGACTTTGGCACAACAGTGATACAGGTTACTTCTGCCTCCACATCATAAGCCAAAAATAACATTTTAAGCCCCACAGCCATCTGAATTGGCCTCTCCTCTCAGCCAAGGGCATTCCAAAGTTAACCTGAAAAACTAGTTCAGGTCATGATGGGGAGTGGGGGTTGCACATGCCTCATTATACCCTCCTCCCTTTGGAATCCAGGCACAGCTGACCAGCATTAACATTAATAGAGATCTTAAGACTTTCTGTAGCAATAAGACACCCAAATCCAGCCTGACTCTAGTATAGCATTACATGACAGATAGCAGGTCCTGAAAGAAATCCAAGTATTTTGTCTTAAAATATATTTCTTTGGCAATTTTTGAAATGGCCCTGCAAAGCTGTCTCTTGTGGGGAAAAATCTAACTTCTGTAGAGAATCCCTTTCCATTTCCAGGTCTTTTCCCTAATCCAGGAGAGAATTCACTGAGTCTGGCACCTTTTTAAGTCTGATAAGAAACATTTACAATCTATTCTCTCCAAAGCCGGCTACCTGTAGGCTTTGTATAATAAGAGCCTTGGTCTCTACAACCACTTATCTTAATCCAGACACTCCCTTCTATGGATTCCAGATCTTTAGATAAACTCAACCAATTGAAATTACAATAGGACATCTGGGCAACATCATGAGAATCTGCCTATGACCTGGAAGGCCCCCTTCTACCCTTGGCTTCCAGTTGTCCTGCTTTTCCAGACAAAACCAAAGTATATCTTACATGTATCGAGTGATGTCTTATGTCCCCCTAAAATGTATAAAACCAAGCTGTAGCCCGACCACCTTGGGCACATGTTTTCAGGATTTCCCGGGACCATTGGTCACTCATATTTGGCTCAGAAGAAATCTCTTCAAATATTTTACAGAATTTGACTCTTTCTGTTGACAACATCATAGACCCAGGCAAGTCACATGCCATACAGATCTACAATTCAAGCAACGATATGCAGTGAGAATTATTCAAGATGTAGACACCACCATTCAATCACTAGAAAAATGTGCCCATTTCTTCCTCATTTTTCCCTTCTACAAATACTGTTCATAGGTTGAAAAAGCTATTTGTTGTGACATTTCTAACAAATTTGAGAGAAAGTAAACATGTTTTAAAATCTAGATTTCAATGTATTTATTATTTTTAAAAATATGTAATTTTTTCTTCTCGGAAAATCAAGTTAAAAATGTCAAAAATCTATTCTCAGGCTGGGCATGATGGCTTATGCCTATAATCCCAGCACTTCAGGAGGCCGAGGCTGGTGGATCATCTGAGGTCAGGGGTTAGAGACCAGCCTGGACAACATGGTGAAACCCTGTCTCTACTAAAAATACAAAGATTAGCTGGGCATGGTGGTGGGCACCTGTAATCCCAACTACTCAGGAGGCTGAGGCAGGAGAATCGTTTGAACCTGGGAGGTGGAAGTTGCAGTGAGCCGAGATGGCACCATTGCACTCCAGCCTGGGCAACAAAAATGAAACTCGGCCTAATATATATATATTCTCAAATCATAGGTGTAAAAAAAATGTTAAAAATAAGTATTTAAAACTCATTATTATTTTAGATTGGATGAAATAGAGAACAGGAAAATTATGCAATTTAAAAGAAGTGGCCAGGTGGGGTGGCTCAATGCCTTGCTCAACGCCTGTAATCGCAGAACTTTGGAAGGTCAAGGCAGGCAGATCACTTGATGCCAGAAGTTTGAGACAAGCCTGGCCAACATGGCAAAATGCCATCTCTACTAAAAATACAAAAATGAGCCTGGCATGCTGGCATGCACCTGTAATCCCAGCTACTTGAGAGGCTGAGGCATGAGAATCGCTTGAACCCAGGAGGTGGAGGTTGCAGTGAGCTGAGATCACACCACTGCACTCCAGCCTGGGTGACAGAGCAAGATTCTGTCTAAAAAAAAAACAAAACAATGATTATGTTTTTGGGTACATTAATCTTTTTAATATCTGAAACCATACTCTATTAAAATTAATATTGTAATATTCTATTAAAGTTGAATCCAATTATAGTAACTCTGTGGTATAATCCCAGACTTTGTATGAGAAGGAGTTTATTTTGGCAGTAAAACTGGTAAGAAAAACAAGAACAGAATAAATCATCAGAAGCTTGCTGAATTTTATTTTTAAACAAAATAGTGTATATCAACTTCTAATTGGTAACTTGTATGTATGTAACATAATAGGAAATACTTGAATAAGGTCCTTGTTTATTTTCTAGTTTAGGCCAATTCTAAAGAGTTACAATTAGCCAGGTGATACTTTTACTGATGAGACAATTCAGTCAAAATGTGTAATTGTACTGCCTCCATTTAGTCTTGAGTGTATAGTTTTATATCCGAAAAAAAGAAAGATTTTCAAACAAACAACGTACTAATTCTGGTCTGTTAAAGACTCTAAGGGGCATTTTGAATTTGTTTATTTGAATCTCCCCAGGGTTTCTTGAAATGGGAAGAGCTCACAACCTTTATGGTCTGTGCCATGCAGCTCTTAAGCAACAAAGCAGGGAACATCTGGGGAAAGACAAAAAGAGGCCCAGAAATTATCATTCATAAAAATTAGGATTTGCTTTTCAGAACCACAGATAGAAACACATGTAGAAGCAGATGTTTCCTTAAATATGAATTAGAACTTTCATATTGTTAGTATGTGTGGTAATTTTTTTTTTTTTTGAGATGAAGTCTTGCTGTGTTGCCCAGGCTGGAGTGCAATGGCGTGATCTCGGCTCACCACAAAATCCACCTCCCAGGTTCAAGCGATTCTCCTGCCTCAGCCTCCTGAGTAGCTGGGATTACAGGCATGTACCCCCACACCTGGCTAATTTTGTATTTTTAGTAGAGAAGGGGTTTCTCCATGTTGGTCAGGCTAGTATCGAACTCCCGACCTCAGGTGAGCCACCCGCCTTGGCCTCCCAAAGTGCTGGGATTACAGACGTGACCCACCATGCCCCGCCTGTATATATGGTAGTATTAATATTTCTCAAGCTTGAAGGAAATCCAACATTGTGGTTCAGATTGCTCTGTCTGATCCAGTCTACCCCATGCATACAGAGTTTGTGCTGGTAAAACTTTATCCATACAGCTAGATGAATGCCAAGAAACCTTGTTTCAAATAGATTGCTAACATTCACTGCATTTACTAACATTTGGTAGGAGGCAGAGGCTTTTGTGATGGTGGAAAGTAAGAGGGGAGATATGAAACTGATGAACACAGTTGACTTAGAAGTCAGAGCTATCGGCCGGGCACGGTGGCTCACACCTGTAATCCCAGCACTCCAGCACTTTGGGAGGCAGAGATGGGTGGATCACGAGGTCAGGAGATCGAGACCATCCTGGCTAACACGGTGAAACCCCGTCTGTACTAAAAATACAAAAAATTAGCCGGGCATGGTGGCGGGCTCCTGTAGTCCCAGCTGCTCGGGAGGCTGAGGCAGGAGAATGGCATGAACCTGGGAGATCGAGCCTGCAGTGAGCCGAGATCGGGCCACTGCACTCCAGCCTGGGTGAAAGAGTGAGACTCTGTCTCAAAAAAAAAAAAAAAAAAAAAAAAAAAAAAAGAAGTCAGAGCTATCATAGGTCTACACCAGGGTGTCTCCATTTTGGCATTCTTGACATTTTGGGCGAGATCATTCTTTGTTGCGGGGCATTGTCCTACACATTGGAGGTGTTCAGCAGCATCCGTGGCCTCTACTCTCTAGATATCAACAACATGCCCAAGTAAAAATATCTCCAGTCATTGCCAAATGTCTCCTGGAGAAAAAAAGTCACCCTCCTGAGAACTACTGGTCTCCATGGACAGTATTTGCCACCCTTGAATCTGAACTGTAGACTTCCTGAAGACATCACTTTTTAAATATTTCATTTAATTCTAGGTTTTCTGTAATAACTTAAGTCTTTCATTACATCAGATTATGTGATTTATCATTTATATTCATTCTTATTGCCCACATTCTTCCTTTACAGGTGTTTACTTGTCTAAATACCTATGAAGACTGTACGGGGAGGAAAAATGAGAAACATCACAGAATTCAGAGACATACAGGCTACTTTCGACTCATCACCAAACTCTTCCAAATATTTGATTAGAAATTTTTGGCACCACTTTGATAACAATATTTGAATAGCTCTGGAGTGTAACAACGGTACTATGTGGTTGCTTTCCCAAGCTATAGCCAGGTCATAAAATCAACGGATTTGTGGAATTACACAGTCTAATCCCTCTATTTGGGGGGATTTAAAAACAAGTTCAGAAAATATAAGACTTTCCCTGTCAATGACAGCAACCAGAGGCAAAAATCCAGATTCCTTTTCAAACCATGTTGTTCTATCTCTTTAAAAGTTATAATTTTTGTTGTTGTTGCTGAGGCTCCATTTTTTATCACTTGTATCTGAAAGTGAGCTGTTCAAATGTGCCCTGCAGGACTCTCTTACTCCTTCAGAGACTTGAGTAAAGTAGCTTTACTTCAGTAGAGCAAGTGGTCCTTCACTCACTGGAAATCATGTATTTCAGGCAGAAGCAGCATTATTAATTTTTTTTTTTTTTGAGATTAAGTTTTGCTGTGTCACCCAGGCTGGAGTGCAGTGGCACGATCTCAGCTCACTGCAATCTCTGTCTCCCGGGTTCAAGCGATTCTCTTGCCTCAGCCATCTGAGGAGCTGGGATTACCAGTGCCTGCCACCAGGCTTGGCTAATTTTTGTAATTTTAGTAGAGACGGGGTTTCACCATGTTGGCCAGGCTGATCTTGAACTCCTAACGTCAGGTGATCCACCTGCCTTGGCCTCCCAAAGTGCTGGGATGACAGGCATGAGCCACCACACCTGACCTAATTTTTTTTTATACTGAAACATCAAGTAATCAAATAGCTATAGGACTTTGTAGGAAGTTAAGGTAAAAATATTGACAGTTTAGCTATGAAAAAATGGGAAGGAGAAATATTCTTTAGAATACATAACTCAGCATTCTATAGAACTTTCCGTGCAATTTAGAAAAACTTTCTTTGATGAATTGTAAAAAATGATAAAATTATAATCTAAAGTGAGAAGCAGAAGTTTGTTTATACCAATAATTTAAAGATGGGGATGAGAAAGTGTTGATAAAAATAAGAATGTTTCTCTGCCTTTGAGACATCATGGCAGAACATCATCTACTGTGTGTCATTGGCCTGTAAACTATCTAAAAGCTAAGAGTAGGTGTCTCACACTTTGCATATCAGAAGAAAACTTGGAGAAAAGATAAATTTATGGAAAAAGGATTTCTATAAATTAATTTAGATTCTCAATTTTTTTTTTTTTTGAGACAGTCTTGCTCTTTTGCCCCGGCTGGAGTGCAGTGGCGCAATCTCGGCTCACTGCAACCTCCACCTCCGAGTTCAAGCGATTCGCCTGCATCAGACTCCCAAGTAGCTGGGATTACAGGCACCTGCCACCACGCCCAGCAATTTTTGTATTTTTAGTAGAGACGGGTTTCACCATGTTGGCCAGGCTGGTCTTGAACTCCTGACCTCAAGTGATCAACCCGCCTCGGCCTCCCAAAGTGCTGGGATTACAGGTGTGAGCCACCGGGTCTGGCCTAGATTCTTAATTTAATATCAACTATGTATTCTGTGGCTCCCACCTCATCATTCAAGTGGTCTGGTCAAATGGACAAAGTCCTTTCATCGAATATTAATCTTTGTAGTCCACTGTCAGGTGCACACTGTATGGTTTGAGTGTAAGGAGGTGGAAAGAGGAAAAATGGGAAAGGAATATAGAAAGAGACAAAGCTGGGGGGAAGGGATACTGACTCCTAAGTCCAAAGCATAAGCACTCTAACGCCACCATCTAAGTTCCAATAACGGGCTCTCTTAAGCCTAGGATTTCTTCAGTGGTTATTAACTTGGAGGTAGTACGGAAATTCTCTTTTATGTGCAGGTTATACATTCCCAGAGCCCCAGTGAATGTCTGAAACTTCAGATAATACTGGACCCTATGTATACCGTCATCTCTCGCTATCTATGGGGGATTGGTTCCAGGACCCCCTTCTATACCAAAATCCGAGCACATTCAAGTATGGAAGTGAGCCATCCAGAACCCTCCCAGATGAAAAGTCAGTCAGCTCTCTATATACATGGGTTTCAAATCTTGTGAATACTATATTTGTGTCTTGCCTTGGTTGCAGGTTCAGAACCCATTGATATGGAGGGCCTGCTGTATTTATTGAAAAAAAAAACACATAAAAGAAGACTACACAGATCAAATCTGTGTTGTTCAAGGGTCAGCTGTACCATATTTTTTTCCAATACATACACATCTATGTAAAGTTTAATTTATAAATGAGGCACAATAGAATATTAACAGCAGTAACTAATAAGATAGAACAATTACAATAATATACCATAATAAAAGTAAAGTAAGGAATTTTTGAATGGAAGCACTGCAATACCTCTACTGTTGAGCCAATAATCCAGAAGTCTACTAAGTGACTCAGGAACAGGTAGCAGCTACCGCGTGGATATGCTGGACAAATGGCTGGTTCAAGTCTCTGGTGGGATGGTGTAAGATTTCATCATACTACTTGGAAGAGCACACAATTTAAAACTGATGAATTATTTTTCAAATTTTCCATTTAATATTTTTAGACTTTGGTTGATCTCTGGTAACTGAAACCACAGAAAATGAAACTGTAGGTAAGGGGAAGACCACGGTATTATGGTTTCTACATTAGAAGCATGAGAATCCAATGGCTATCTCTCAGGTGACACATGACGCTATCTTATACTACGCAGCCTACCAGCTCATATTTTATGCGGTGTATTCTAAGTTTTCAGTGTATTAGACCAGTGATTTTCAACTGGGGGCAATTTTGTCCCCAAAGGTCATTTGTCAATGTCTGTAGATTTTCTAGTTGTTGCAATTGGGGGATGTAGGGTGTTAATGGCATTTAGTAGGCAGAGGCCAGAGATGATATGACACATCTTAAAATACAAAAGACAGGCCAGGCACGGTGGCTCACACCTGTAATCCCAGTACTTTGGGGGGCCGAGGCGGGCAGATCACCTGAGGTCAGGAGTCTGAGACAAGCCTGGCCAATATGGCAAAACCCCATCTCTACTAAAAATACAAAAATTAGCCAGGTATGGTGGTGGGTACCTGTAATCCCAGCTACTGGGGAGGCTGAGGCAGGAGAATCGCTTGAACCTGGGAGGTGGAGGTTGCAGCGAGCCAAGATCGCACTACTGCACTCCAGTCTGGGCTACAGAGTGAGATGCTGTCTCAAAACAAAAACAAAAGACAGTCCACAACAAAGAATTATCTGTCCCAAAGTATTACTAGTGCTGAGGGTCAGAAAACCTGTAGTAAGCATTCTGTTAACCGTTTAGATAATGGGTTGGCAAACTATGGCCCATGGCCTGCTGCCTGTTTTTGTGCGACCCACAGGCTAAGAATGGCTTTTGTCTTTTTAAAAGGTTAAAGAAGAGATTTTTAAAAAATTATTTCCTTACACATAAAATTTGCATGAAATTCAAGTTTTTAGTGTCTATAAAAAAGATTTTATTGGAGCACAACCATACCCATTTTTTTTTAAACATACCTTGTCTACTTCTGCTCTCACAATATGATGGCAGAGTTGAAAAGTTGTGACCGACACCACATGGCTCAAAAAGCCTGAAATACTATCTGGTCCTTTACAGAAAAAGCTTGCCAAACAAATCCTGCTCTACAGACACATCAAATGAGCTGACATTAATATAGCAAGGTGGTAGGATAGACTTTAGCTTAACTCTTAGAAGAGTTCCATTGCTTGGAGATTTAGAGTGTTTATTATTTTCTGAACTCAGGGGTAAAGGTAGGAGGGAGGATATGAAGAAATCCTAAAAAACAATTATAAATCAGGCTGTGACAATAAATAAGTATATGTGTGGGGTGGAAGGGGGAGGAGATGCCATGAATTATTGCCACCTGAAAAGAAAGATAATTGTTTACATGATTAACTAATACGCTAGTCAGATAATGAGTAAGTAAAGCTATTTGCTACGAAGCGCAGGGTCAGTGGTCCTGTCTCTTGGAAATTTTTATAGCTATTTGAAGAGCACACCACAACCTTGAAGAGTGAACTACCCATGAATTTTCAAATGACTTCTCCAGCTTCTTTCTCAAAAAATAAATAAGCCTCAAGCAGGCAATGGTGAATTGAAGACTTGTATACAGCATTTATAAAACTTACTGACAGTAGAGATTGCAGAGGAGTTTTCACAAGGTAAGTATTTATGGAAAAAGAATCAAAATCCTCAATTCATACCTTCAGAAATGGCATTAACATTACTCTTTTCCTTTTAGGAAGGTTGCCAATGATACTGAATGGCAATACTGCCTGCGAAGCTGTCTGTCTAGGAATTCCATTACTCTAAAAAGTATTTACAGATGATTCGCACCTTCCTCAAGACATTACTTTCTCCTTCTGCTGTTCCTCTCACACTAGATATTTTATCCATATTTTGTGTGTGTATGTGTGTGTGTGTGTGAGATGGAGTCTCGCTCTGTCACCCAGGCTGGAGTGCAGTGGCACAATCTTGGCTCACTGCAACCTCCACCTCCTGGTTCAAGCAATTCCCCTGCCTCAGCCTCCAGAGTAGCTGGGATTACATGCACCTGCTGCTATGCCCAGCAATTTTTTTTTGTATTTTTAGTAGAGACGGGGTCTCACCATGTTGGCCAGACTGGTCTCGAACTCCTGACCTCAGGCAATCCGCCCGTCTCGGCCTCTGAAAGTGCTGGGATTACAGGCGTGAGCCACTGCACCTGGCAAGATTCTCCTGATGATGTGTGACAGGAAGATATTTGTACTTGGTCTCATAAAACTGGGATATGTTTGGGGAAAGAGTGAAAAGCTATCAAAAAGATGTTCTACATTTGAGCCCTGAGAAACTTATAATGATAAACATTGTTAGAAAATACTTTATTTTTGAAGTAGAAGAGGCTAAATTCTACTTTATTTATGTGGGGAAAATTTTGGAAAAAAGAAAAATTAAATGATTAAAAGGAATTTTAAGATGTATTAGTTTTAGTACATTGGAGGTATGAGGGGGTTAGTAACAATACCTTCTAATTCAAATAATTCCTGATTCATTTACCTGATATTGCTCAGAAATAAGAAATGTTTTCCATATAACAAAGTTTACCACTATTGAATAGTGTATTCCAGGATAAAAATTATTTTGGTGT
Source organism: Homo sapiens (assembly GCF_000001405.40). Lineage (NCBI taxonomy): Eukaryota > Metazoa > Chordata > Mammalia > Primates > Hominidae > Homo > Homo sapiens. Next base: position 148,070,777 of record NC_000007.14, on the reverse strand, counting down.
CAGAATTATTCAAATGCAAAACTGTTTCTTATTTAATTTAATTAATTAATTTATTTATTTTAGAAGGAGTCTCGCTCTGTCACCCAGGCTGGAGTGCAGTGGTGTGATCTCGGCTCACTGCAACCTTTGCCTCCTGGGTTCAAGCAATTCTTCTGCCTCAGCCTCCCAAGTAGCTGGGACTACCAGGTGTGCACCACCATGCCTGGCTAATTTTTGTATTTTTAGTAGAAACAGGGTTTTGCCATATTGGCCAGGCTGGTCTCAAACTCCTGACCTCAGGTGATCCACCTGCCTCGGCCTCCCGAGTGCTGGGATTACAGGCATGAGCCACGGTGCCCAGCCCAAAACTGTTTTTTAAGAAATAAAAAACATTTAAAAATATAATCAAAGGTTTAATTAAAAGTTATTAACAGAGGTTTGCTTTTTTAACAGCAAGTTCATTATCTGAGTCTTCATTCCTTAATATGCTAGTGATAGACTTCTCAGTGCAATGTCTATTTCAGAGGATTCTATGTCCTTGCCCTTTTAAACAAATTGTCAGTTTTTATTTTTCCTTGTATTTGTTGTATTTACATTTAATATCTTCATCTCAGCATCTACAATTCACTTTTATTATGTTGTGGACTTTAAGCCAGAGAACTAAACATGATAAGACTGATATTCTTAGCAGATAATATATTAGTTACAGAGCCTGGATTGAAATCTGAGCCATGCCATTTTTTAACTATGGGATCTTGGGGAATTTGCTTAGCCTGCTTCTTTATCCATAAACTGGAGATGATAATAGCTTACTTATGCAGTTGTCAGAGAATTAAATACATCCACATATGTAAAATGCTTAGAATAGTGACTGGCACATATTCAGATAATATCTAGAATCTAATTTTTAGAGCAAGTATTTTATTAGGCACACATTTTTCACCAAAATCTCTGTCTGAGTCTTAGTTTTAGAGAGTTGAGATGGAGATGCATATGTCCCCTCCCCATTCTTTCTTTCTTTCTTTTTTTTTTTTTTTTTGAGACGGAGTCTTTGTCTGTCACCCAGGCTGGAGTGCAGTGGCGCAATCTTGGCTCACTGCAAGCTCTGCCTCCCAGGTTCACGCCATTCTCCTGTCTCAGCCTCCCGAGTAGCTGGGACTACAGGCGCCCGCCACCATGCCCGGCTAATTTTGTGTTTTTAGTAGAGACGGGGTTTCACCGTGTTAGCCAAGATGGTCTCAATCTCCTGACCTCGTGATCCGCCTGCCTCGGCCTCCCAAAGTGCTGGAATTACAGGTGTGAGCCACCGTGCCCGGCCTCGCCCTTCTTTTTGATTGCTTATGTCCCTCTCTTGTCATTTCTCCAGAAGTTGTCTATTGGGATTTCTTAGACCACAGAAACTTCATTCACCCTTCTTTTCCCTGTCTCCACTCAGAGTATTAATTAAAGATTAATCCTGAAGCCTGGGGGCCTAAACTGACATCCAGGAAAGCCTTAGGAGCATTTGCATACACTTATGAAGTCCTTATAAAACTTTACATTTTAATTAGCTGACAACAGTTAAAAATCATAAGACTAGAAACTTCTACTTCCAGCCGAGAAGGAGTAGCAGGATTTGACTTACTCTTGTCTGAAACAACTAAAAGACTGGACAAAATATATAAAACAGTCATAGAGATCAGGCAGGGCAGGGCAGTTATGTCTGAGAGACAGACACAAACAATGTGAACCCCACAATTGCTTCAGCCTACTGCCTGATAAAATTTTCTGGGTCTCAGTGCAGGGAAGGGAAACTTAGGAACCTGGTGAGCTCCTTACTTGAGGAGACAGAGTTGGTAGTCTAGGGTCTTCAGAACAGAATACCAGACAGGAGAGAGCTGTACAGAGAGAAAACTTAAGTGATCTGCAGAAGTGTCCCTTAAGTCTTCAGCAAGGTACCAATAAATTCATGTGTGTAATAAAACAACCTGGGTCAGAGAAAACTCACCTGAAAGGAGCTGAGGGAACAACCTACTCACACAGATTAAGAATAATTCATGTTCCCACCAGTCTGAGTGCAAAACCTTGTAACTCAGGGTATTAGGTACAGTACTCAAAAGGAAATTATAACATTATTGGGAAAAAATCAGCCCTAGAAAAGGGCTGTGCTGGTCTCACCTCATGAAGTCTAAAAGCAAGTCTCCAAAGGATCAACTGTTTTCAATAAGTTAATTTCATCCCAGAACAAAGCTTAAGCATAATATAGGATATAAAAATATCTACACTCAACAAAGTGAAATTCACACTGTGAGTGCCCAAAGCGTGAGGAGGGAAAGTCCACTTCTGAACACATACCCTCACTGGGGAACATGTAAATTCAGATCACAGGAGAAGAATTTAACCTTACCTAGAGCTGAAATGAATTTAGAGAGCCCAGTGAAATATAAAACTAGAAGAAGCAGCAGAAAGAGCCCTGTAGGCATTCCTGGTGCCCAGGGAAGCCGTTTCTGACTTTACCTCATAGAGGTTCTTGGGGAGGGCTGCCAGTGGAACTGGGGAAAGACAACAGGGAAAAGGAAACTTCTAGCTGAACTTTGTAATAATTTTGACCAAATATGAATTTTTCTGGGCACAATCTGGGGCAGGGGTGGGGTAGGGGGTGAACAGAAAGTGTAGATATGAGCAAAGAAGCTACAGCAGGTGGGGAGAGGTGGGGCCTGAAAGTCCTGCTTGCTTTCTCAGCTGGGAGGCTTGTAGTCTGGGACAAGACCTCAGCTCTGCTCACCGGCACCTGGATATAAACTCAGTGCTATCGGTGGGGTGCAGTGGGAGTGAGACTGGCCTTGCTGGCTGTGTGGGAAGTGAGTGAGGCCAGTCACTGACGACTTTCCCCCACTTCCCTGGAAACCTATATGACACTGCAGAGCAGCCATAATCCCCCTGGGAACATAACTCCATTGGCCTGAGAACCACACCGCCATCCTCAAAGTGGCTGCAGCAAGCCCTGCCCAAGGGGAGGCTGAGCTCAGACACGCCTAATCCTGGCTCCACCCAGTGGTCTTTCCCTACCTGCCCTGGCAGCTGAAGACAGAAAATACAATCTCTTGGGAGCGCTATGGTCCAACCCATCACCTGAGAAGCCCAAATACCTATTCAGGCAAACTTAGGACAAGCTTGTTTCAGCTGATGCTCTCTTAAAAGTGCCACCTCTTGGCTGGAGGCCAACTAACTGCTAGCACAACCAACATTCAAGAAAACCCATGCACTAAACAAAACTACAACTAAAGACCCTCACACAGTCTACCTCACTTCCCTACTACCTCGACCAGAGCAAGTGCTGGGATCCATGGCTGAGAGACCTGAAGACAGATCATGTCACAGGACTCTTTGCAGATACTCCCCAGTACCAGGTCAGAGTCCAGTAGCTCCACTGGGTGGCTAGACCTAGAAAAGCAATAACAATCACTGCAGTCCAGCTCTCAGTGAGCCCCATCCCTAGGGAAAGGGGGAGAGCACCACATCAAGGCATCACCCCATGGCACCAAAGAATGAACAGCAGGACTTAAACCCCAGCTCTTTCCTCTGAAATGGTCTACCCAAATGAGAAGGAACCAGAAAAACAATTCTGGTAATATGACAAAGCAAGTTTCTTTAACACCCCAAAAGATCACACTAGCTCGCCAGCAATGGGTTCAAACCAATAAGAAATCTTCAAATTGCCAGAAAAATAATTCGGTAGGTTGATTATTAAGATACTCAAGGAGGCACCAGAGAAAGGTGAAAACCAACTTAAAGAAATTTAAAAAATAATACAGGATATGGACAAAAAAATCTCTAGAGAAATACATAACATAAATAAAAGACAATCAAAACTTCTGGAAATGAAAGACACACTTAGAGAAATGAAAAATACGCTGGAAAGTTTCAGTACAATGGAACAAGTAGAAGAAAGAACTTCAGAGATCAAAGACGAGGCTTTTGAATTAACCCAATCCAACAAAGACAAAGAAAAAAGAATTTAAGGCTGGGCGCGGTGGCTCACGCCTGTAATCCTAGCACTTTGGGAGGTTGAGGCAGGCGGATCATGAGGTCAGGAGATCGAGACCATCCTGGCTAACACGGTGAAACCCCATCTCTACTAAAAATACAAAAAAATTAGCTGGGTGTGGTGGTGGGCGCCTGTAGTCCCAGCTACTCGGGAGGCTGAGGCAGGAGAATGGCGTGAATCCAGGAGGTGGAGCTTGCAGTGAGCCGAGATAGCACCACTGCACTCCGGCCTGGGCGAAAGAGTGAGACTCCATCTCAAACTAAAAAAAAAGAAAAAAAGAAAAAAGAATTTAAAAAATGAACAAAGCCTCAAAGAAGTTTGAGCTTATGTTAAATGACCAAACCTAAGAATAACTGGTGTTCCCAAGGAAGAAGAGAAATCTAAATGTTTGGAAAACTTACTTGAGAAAATAATTGAGGAAAACTTCCCTGGCCTTGTTAGAGATCTAGACATCCAAATACAAGAAGCTCAAAGAACACCTGGGAAATTCATCACAAAAAGATCATCACCTAGCACATAGTCATTAGGTTATCTAAAGTCAAGACAAAGGAAAGAATCTTACGAGCTGTGAGGCAAAAACATCAGGTAACCTGTAAAGGAAAACCTATCAGATTAACAGCAGATTTCTCGGCAGAAACCCTACAAGCCAGATAGGATTGGGGCCCTATCTTTAGCCTCCTTAAACAAAATAATTAAAAGCCAAGAATTTTGTATCCAGTGAAACTAAGCTTCACAAATGAAAGAAAGATGGTCTTTTACAGACAAACAAATGCTGAGATAATTCACCACTACAAAGCCAGCACTACAAGAATTGCTACAAGGAGCTCTAAATCTTGAAACAAAACCTTGAAATACACCAAAATAGAACCTCCTTAAAGCATAAATCTCACAGGGCATACAATACAATAACACGGTGACAAAAAACAAGGTATTCAGGCAACAACTAGCATGATAAATAGAAGAGTACCTCATGTCTCAATACTAATGTTGAATGTAAATGACTTAAATGCTCCACTTAAAAGACACAGAATTGCAGAATGGATAAGAATTCAACCAAGTATCTGCAGTCTTCAAGAGACTCACCTAACATAAGGACTCACATAAATGTAAGGTAAAGGAGTGGAAAAAGATATTCCATGCAAATGGACACCAAAAGTGAGCAGGAGTAGCTATTCATATATCAGACAAAACAGATGTTAAAGCAACATCAGTTAAAAAAGACGAAGAGGTACATTATGTAATGATAAAAGGACTAGTCCAACAGGAAAATATCACAATATTAAATATATATGCACCTAACACTGGGGATCCCAAATTTGGACAATAATTACTACTAGACCTAAGAAATGAGATAGACAACAACACAACAATATTGGGGGGCTTCAATATTCCACTGACAGCACTGGATATCAAGACAGAAAGTCAACAAAGAAGCAATGGACTTAAACTATATCCTAGAACAAATGGACTTAACAGATATTTACAGAACATTCCACCCAACAACCACAGAATAGACATTCTACTCATCAGCACATGGAACGTTCTCCAAGATAGACCATATGATAGGCCACAAAACAAGTCTCAGTAAGTTTAAGAAAATTGAAATTATATCAAGTACTTTCTCAGACTACAGTGGAATAAAATTGGAAATCAACTTGAAAAGGAATCCTCAAAACCATGCAAATACATGGAAATTAAATAACCTGTTCCTGAATGACCATTTGGTCAACAATGAAATCAAGATGGAAATTAAAAAATTCTTCGAACCGAATGATAATAATGACACAACCTATCAAAACCTCTGGGATACAGCAAAGTTGGTGCTAAGAGGAAAGTTCATAGCATTAAATGCTTACATCAAAAAGTCTGAAAGAGCCCAAACAGACAATGTAAGGTAAAACCTCAAGGAACTAGAGAAACAAGTACAAAGCAAACCCAAACCCAGCAGAAGAAAAGAAATAACAAAGATCGGAGTAAAACTCAATGAAACTGAAACAAAAATACAAAAGATAGTAGTGTTTTGTAGTTTTCCTTGTAGAGATCTTTCACTTCTTTGGTTAGGTATATTCTTGAGTTTTTTTTTTTTTTTTTTTTAACAGCTATTATAAAAGAGGCTGAGTTCTTGATCTGATTCTTAGCTTGCTTGCAGTTGGTGTATAGCAGAACTACTGATTTGTGTATGTTAATTTTGTATCCTGAAACTTTGCTGAATTCATTTATCAGATTTAGGAGGTTTTTTGGATGAGTCTTTAGGGTTTTCTAGGTATACAATCATATCCTTAGTGAACGGCAACAGTTTGACTTCCTCTTTACTGATTTTGATGCCCTTTATTTCTTTCTCTTATCTGATTGCTCTGGCTAGGACTGAAAGAAATCATAGATAGCACAAACAAATGGAAACACATCTCATCCTTGTGGATAGGTAGAATAAATATTGTCAAAATGACCATACTGCCAAAAGCAATCTATAAATTCAATGCAATTCCCATCAAAATACCACCATCATTATTCACAGAACTAGAAAAAAAATCCTAAATTCATACAGAACTAAAAAAGAGCCCACATGGCCAAAGCAAGACTAAGCAAAAATAACAAATCTGGAGGCATTACATTACGTGACTTCAAGCTATACTATAAGGCTACAGTCAACCAAATGGCATGGTACTGGTATAAAAATAGGTATACAGACCAATGGAACAGAATAGAGAACCCAGAAAAAAAGTCAAATACTTACAGCCAACTGATCTTCGACAAAGCAAACAAAAACATAAAGTGGGAAAAGGACACCCTTTTCAACAAATGGTGCTGGGATGATTGGCAAGCAACATGCAAAGGAATGAAACTGAATCCTCATCTCTCACCTTATATAAAAATTAACTCAAGATGGATCGAAGACTGAAATCTAAGACCTGAAATCCTAAAAATTCTAGAGGATAACATCAGAAAAACCCTTCTAGACATTGGCTTAGGCAAAGACTTCATGACCAAGAACCCAAAAGCAAATGCAACAAAAACAAAGATAAATAGATGAGACCTAATTAAACTAAAAAGCTTCTGTACCTCAAAAGAAGTAATCAGCAGAGTAAACAGACAACCCAAAGAGTGGGTTGTCACCCACTACAGAAGTTTTCCATGTAACTAAACACTACCTGTTCCCCAAAAACCTACTGAAATAAAAAAAAAAATTAAAAAAAGAAAAAATATCTGGAAAGGGCTAACAGCAGATTAGACACTACAGAAGAAAAGATTAGATAACTTGAAGACAGTGATAGAAACTATCCAAAATAAAAAACAGAGGAAAAAAAAGCTACTAGAAAAGAAAAAAGAAAAAAGGAAAGAGCACCAATGAGCTGTGGGGCAAAGTCAAGTGGTACAATATGTATAATGGGAATTTCCAAAAGTGGGGGTTGGGAGAGTGATGAAAATATTTGAAGAGATAATGGCTTTAAATTAAAACATGAATGGAAGAAACTACACTGAGGTATATCATAAGGCCATTCTTAAAAGCAGCCAGAGAAAAAGGACACAATTGCCCATAAAGGAGCAAACATATCAATGACAGATTTCTCACAGGAAATAATGCAATCCAGAAGACAGTAGGACCACACCTTTAAAATAAGAAAGAAAAAAATAATGAACTGTCAACCTAGAACTCGATACCCAGTGACAATATCTTTCAATAAAAATAATATTCTGATACATATATACTATAGATGGAATTCATCCATTTTGCCTAAATTTTCAAATGCTTTGGCCAGCTTTGTTCATGGTATTCTCTTATTGTCATTTAAAGTGTCTGCTACCTATAATTATCTCCATTTTCATTTCTTGTATTGATTATTTGTGGTGTTCTCCTTTTTTCTTAACCAATTTTGCTGGAGGATTTTCTGTTTTCAAGAAACTAACTTGTGACTATGTTGATCCTCCCTACTATAACTTCAAGTTTTATTTCATTAAGCTCTGCTCTTACATCATCACATACTTTTACTTTATTTGAATTTAGCTATGAGTTTCTAGCCTTAACTCATTTTTTACTTAAGCATTTAAAGTGTAAAATAACTACAACTATCTTTGTCTTGCATCTCATGAATATTTATTTATAGGATTATTTATTGTCCTTCAGTTCTAAGTATTTTTAAGATACCTTCCCCTAGAAAGTCATAAATGTTTTAAACATTTCATTTATATCTTAGAAGAATGTGTGTTCTTTATTTTGTTTAGACTTTATGTCAATCAAGTTTTTAAATTATATTGGTGGAAACCTCTATTTTTACTTATTGTCGTGTGCCTAAATGATCAGTTCTGAAATTAATATGCCACATTTTCTTCTATGATATTTGAGTTATCAATTTCTCCCTGCACTTCTGTCAATTTTTGCTTTATATATTTTGAGAGTATTTTGCGAATTCAAGTTTAAAATTGCTAAGTTCTTCTGGCAAAATGAATCGCTTGCCATAATTCAGTATCCTTTCTACCTTCTAAAAAGGTTTTTGAAGTCTTTGTTACCTGCTATTATAGTTACCCGGTTTTTCCTTTAATTATTATTTGCATATTATGTCTCTTTTCATTATTTTCCATTCAGGCTTTCTGAGTCCTCTTATTTCAGATGTGTCTTAAAAAAACCACTTAGCTTCTTTTTAAACTAATTTGACAAGATCTTTTAGCTAGTATATTTAGTCCACTGCCATGGACTAAACACACACACACACACACACACACACACACACACACACACACACACACTCTCTCTCTCTCTCTCTATCATCTATCTATCTATCTATCTATCTATCTATCTATCTATCTATCTATCTATCTATATCTGTTTATCTATCTATCTATCTATCTATCTATATCTGTTTATCTATCTATCTATCTATCTATCTATCTATCTATATCTGTTTATCTATCTATCTATATCTATTTATCTAACTATCTAGGTATCTAGACTACACACACACATGCACACATGTAAAAGCAAGAAAGACAGACTTGTTCCTATTGTCTTATATTGTTTAGTCTTTCTGAATAGATGATTTATATTTGTTTTCTTAATCCATTTCCTCCCCCATTCTGGTTTTGAAGTTATATATTATTTAATATTAAGTGGGCACTTTGAAGGCTGGGTGTGGTGGCTCACACCTGTAATCACAGTATTTTGGGAGGGCGAGGCAGGTGGATCACTTGAGATCAGGACTTTGAGATAGGCCTGGCCGACATGGTGAAACCTCGTCTCTACTAAAAATACAAAAAATTAGCCAGGCGTGATGGCGTGCACCTGTAGTCCCAGCTACTTGGGAAACTGAGGCAGGAGACTCACTTGAACCTGGGAGGTGGAGGTTGCACTGAGCCAAGATCATGCCACTGCACTACAGCATGGGTGACAGAATGACAGTCTGTCTCAAAAAATAAATAATAAAAAATTTAAAAAGTGGGCACTTTGGAATTCTATCTTACATACTTAAGAAAGTCTAAAGTTAATCACTCTTTTAAATCCTCTTAAAATACAAGGATCTTAAAAAACTGTAATTTTGATTATTCTCTTTCTAACAGACTTCATTTTTAATTGTTTCATTTACTCCTTTTTAAAACACATTAATTTTGATGTTAATATTTTATTACACAGTTTTAAAAACCTTTAACCTATATCTTCATTAATGTCTTTGATCAATACTTCTTACACCTCAGACATTTCTTCTGGGTTTCTTTTATTTAAAAAAATTAAGTAAATCCTTTAGAGATTGCTTTAATGAAAAACCTTTTGGTCTCAAACTCTCAATTTCTGTTTCTCTTTCTCTCAACACTTTGATCATACCATTCTGTGGTCTTGTCTTTCAACTATTGCTTTTGAGAATTCTATTTTTATTTCACTTGCTGTTACTTTTTCTCTGACTTCCCCTTTGGTGCTCAAGCCTGGTGAAAGACAGAGCTGAGTTAAACCTTTGGTGTCTGGAGAGCAGAGCCTATACTTAACTATTCCATAATACAACCAACAGCGCTGAGGATCTATAACAAAAAGGCATAGTTAGCATACTCTAATTTATAAGCCTTAATTTTCAAGCAATAAATATTGAACACATGGAAGTGAGCTGATTTTACCTTGTCTATTAACTATTAAAATATGCATACAGAATTTAACCAAATAATTGATTTTAAACTTAAAATATTTTTGTAACAAGAGTTACTATGTTGATACATCCAAATGAACCTAAAGGAGAAACAATATGAGTTTGTTGTCTGGAAAATTCTAATAGATAAAGGATTCAAGGTATAACTATTGATCAACAAATATTTATTAGCTACTTGCAAAATGTTCCATTTTATGAGAGCTAATTTAGAATTGCAATTGTCTGTTCTATTAGAATTGATCAAAAGCTTCAGGTCATTTAATATTGCCTAATATATACACATAGTATGTAAATATACATATATATGTATAAAGAAATCACTTAAAAACAATAAGCAAATACTTCAGAAAAATTATTACTACTGAGAAAAAAATATAAACCATTTATTTAAAATCATTTAAAGCAGTTTTAAGGTTCAAAACATTTTTATTTAATAACAAGCTTATTTAGATGACTTTAAAAGTCAATGTGGCTGTATTTACAAAATAAGTAAATTTTCCCAACAGCAAAGCTAGTGGATCAATTAATGGCTTAGTTATAATACTTTGTTGAAATAGTCAAAATGAGTGTTATGGCATTTCTGTGTGGTACAGCTTAGAAGTTCAAAAACTCTGCAAATGATGCTGAAAAGAATATAATGAATGCATGAAAAATGACTATTCCTGGAAATGTAAGGTGGAAGCTGACAATACTCATGTTATTTTATGTAGAACCTTACCTTACTGTAACTGTCAAAGCACTTAAAAACCTTGACCAATTTTTAAATTTTGATATATCTTAATATGCACTCAAGTATTAATTTGCATTAGATATATTCTAACTTAGTGCAGACTTTGTATCAAGTTATATGTATTCCCCTCCTTACTAAATATATATATATAATTTAAATATAAATATATGTATAGTATAAATATGCATATTTTAAAATATAGAAATTTCTTTTGAGAGAAGAATATTTCTGCTGTTTTTTAATAACCTACATGAAGAAAAATACTCAGATTATAAGTATACAGCATGATGAATTTTCTTTCTTTCTTTCTTTTTTTTTTTTTTTTTGAGACAGAGTTTTGCTCTTGCTGCCCAGGCTGGAGTGCAATGGGGCACCGTCTCAGCTCACTGCAACCTCCCTCTCCCGGGTTCAAGCGATTTTCCTGCCTCAGCCAGAGTAGCTGGGATTACAGGCATGCACCACCACACCCGGATAATTTTGTATTTTTAGTAGAGAAGGGGTTTCACCATGTTGGTCAGGCTGGTCTCGAACTCCTGACCTCAGGTGATCCTAGTCTGCTCAGCCTCCAAAAGTGCTGGGATTATAGGTGTGAGCCACCGTGCCAGACCTTTTGTTTTTGTTTTCTTTTTGAGATGGGGTCTCACTCTGTCACCCATGCTGGAGTTCAGTGGCATGATCTCCACTTACTGCAACCTCCACGTCTTGGGTTCAAGTGATTCTCCCACCTCAGCCTCCCAAGCAGCTGGGACTACAGCAGTGTACCACCACGCCCAGCTAATTTTTATTTTTTATTTTTTTGGTAGAGATTGGGTTTCATCACATTGGCCAGGTTGGTCTCGAATTCCTGACCTCAAGTGATCCGCCTACCTTGGCCTCCCAAAATGCTGGGATTACAGGCATGAGCCACCGAGCCCTTGATGGCCCTTGATGAATTTTCATAAAGTGACACACCCATGTAACTCGAATCCACATCAAGAAACAGAACATTATTAGTGGCCCAGACACCCCCTGTGTGCCCCTTTTGTTCACAACCATTTCCCTAAAGGTAACAACTATTTTGTCTTTCTAACACCTGGGCTATTTTTTGAATAACATTTACCCTATTAGGCATACAACGCTAAAAACAAACAAACAAAAAACTATTCTATGGGAATTAAAATTTGGGTGAGGTCATGTACTCCTTCTTCCTATTTTCAATTTATTTGGCTCATATCTGCACCAAAAGCCAAACATCTGCCAGCCCCTCTGCAGCCCCCTAGTCCCCTCAGTCAAGCGACACGCCTTGCAAGGAAATGACCACTCTCGGATATGCAGACCTGGTTGTGCATGCTCCATTTCTGCCTAAAGTTTTCTGTGTGCAGAGGATGGTAGGTGTAAAACTACGGGCCATAAAGAGCCAGGTATTGCCACATGAATTATACTCTGCCTCTGAAATGCCCCAGGTTTGGCTGCCCCAAGCTGCATCCTCATCTCCTACAAGCCACCCAGGACATTCCCAGGCAAAACGAGAAGGGCCCTGGAGGTAGGCTGCACACTGACTTGTTTAACCGTGTGTGGAGGGGATGGTTTCTCCCCACTGGCATAAACAGATGCTGCTGGGATAGGCATGTATTCGCATCTGCCTGTTTGCTCTGCTCTGGGAGAGTCTGAGCTTTGAGAGCTTGCCAATTCTTAATGGAAATCTGCTACTTGTGATGAGGCATGAAAGACTAGCTTCACCTGACCTGCACAATTGAACACCATGCTCTCTCTTCATGTACTAAGTCACGTTATCAACACACTCTAGAGGGTATATATTTGACTTGTTTGTGAATAGCTAGTTTTTGTTTTAAGTACTTCTTAGCAGGATTATACCAATAAACTTGACTCTGTGAAAGGGAAATAAAAACTTGGGACCTCAGTTCACTTTGTCAAAAGCAAATAATAACAATAATAATAATAATAATAATAATAATAATAATAATAAGCTGGAAGCTGAGTCATGCAGGAAGCTGCCTTTCTCTTTGTTCCTAAGCAGATAGCTACAGAAAAAACATTTCTGATAGAGAATTTGAAGCTTAGAGAAGTGAAATAACTTCTCCACCATCACACAGTCAAGGAGTGGCAGCATTATGATTTGAACCCAAGGTTAGTTTAACTCTAAATCCCATGCTTGTCTTCTAGTAATACTTCTGAGACACTGCAGAAATACAATGGTTATCAAGAATGTTTAACCTTCAGTTCCTTCAGTAAGTTTTAACTGAGGGTAGGAGGTACAGTGATGCCCACAGTCTTTCTTCTCTATTATTCACAATTCTAAATAGTTATCTTTGACTTAAAATGCTATTAATATTTATAATCTGCTATCATGTTACATCCACATAGGGCTTTATACTTGAAGATCACCTCACACTCATAAACGCATTCTAACCCAGGTTAAAAGGGGTGTGTATTACTACTCTTATTTTACCCTGAGTTCTTCTCAGGCTGATGAAATCTCGAATTTAGTGAGACCTCATGTTAGGACCTTTCGACACCAGAAATGCTGAAAGTCTGTTTTAAGGCGTTGTCTCTATTCCTTGCTGATGTGTTATCCACACGCAGACTATCCAAGCTATTGAGCGATTGATCCTCATGGAGACCTGGGACACTCAGCAGCTCCCGGCTACTTGTATACCTGGCTACTTGTGCACCCTCCTACCCACCGCTTAGTGAATTCTGCTTCCTCATGACTGGTACTATCTGAGGGTTTACGACGCCTGTGACTCTCTTAACTTCTAAACTATGTTAACAACAACAGTGGCTCTTATGTATGGAAGTGACTGCACCGAGGGCTGTGAATACCACTCAAGCCTCACTGCAATAAGAGGGTGGGCACAGATGAGAAAATGAAGACTCAGAAAAGTTGAGCAACTTTCCTAAAGGCAAGTGATGGAAATAGGATTCAAACCCAGGTCTGTTTGTCTATAAAGTCTGAGCTTTTAATTCCAGTGGATCCAAAGCTTACATGAGGATTGGGCTCTAAAAGTTGTTGCAAAACTGGAAAATTAAGAAAAGCCAAGGGCTGCTCTGGAAAGCTCTTAAATCGCCCTTCAAGTACCTTATCCCATTACTTCTCAAGGACGCCAACACGAACGATCATACTTCAGCACAAAACAGATCAGCATATTTTTGGGTGGGCAACAGACGAAGTAGTTGTTTGTGTTTAGGATATATATTGTACAAAAATATTTGAACCACACTCAGCCTAGCAAAAAAACTTACCCCATCAATGTTGCGGGAGGGACCACAGATCCTGTCTTCATCTCATATTCATTTAGGGGCATATGCTCAGTGAGCATGTTGCAACAAAGACAGATGGAATCAAGTTAGCAGATATGCTATGCTACTCTGGGTTCACTCCTACTTGGGATTTCAGAGAATGTCCTCCTCTTGGGGAGAGCATTCTAATTGCTACTGCATATGTAAAAGGTTTATACTGTTAAAAATGTAATCTTGATACCAGCAAAGCTATGATCTAAGAGACATGCACTTTTAGGGGTCAGAAAGTGATAGAAACATTTCTGCAATATCAGTGAGGTTACAGCTTTGGCTTTTAGACAGAAAACTGACTGCATGGTTTTTGGGTCAATGTTGACTGAAACACATCCCAGAAACCAACCATATCAAGCATGAAAAATCCACAGAACATAAAATGGCTGGAAAATTCCACAGCAAATGGAAGGGCAGAAGAAATTGCCCACAATGTTTAAATTCTCTTCTCTCACTGTCTCCCCAAAGCTCCCTCCCTTCTCAATGAGTATGCTAAAATTTGCGAGGGAACAGAGCCCACTCTTTAGGCTGCTATACAGTCTGCATATCTTTTATTCAAAGTCACTGAGAGAAGGTTGGAGTGAATCCGTTCATCGCTATTCAACACAGAACTTTCTGTTAGGTAGAGTTCTCATGAGAAGCCATGTTAGAGGGTACAGGCCAAGTTGCACATCACGGCCTAAGGAATGAGCCCCGAACCTTGGCTTAATTAGCTGTGGCCAGGTTATCAAGGCTATAAATTGCAAAATCATGGGGACCAAAATATAAGAAACCCACTGCCTCCTTCATTTAAAAGAAGGCGATAGGAATGGTGAGGACAAAGATGTTCACGGACTAGTCTCTACTGCAATGCTTTTCCTTCTTAACTGCAATGCTTTTCCTTCTTAACTGCAATGTGTTAACTTGGCATGCAGCTGAAACAGTCTTTTTGTGGCTCAGAGAACAGCTTTGAGTGGGACAAAACAGGACTACCATTTATCCTTTGTCTTTATAAACATAATAATAGATGTAGCTAATATATATTTAGATCTCACTAGGTTCTGCATTAGGTGCCTAATCTGGAAGAGAAGGGCTATCATTGTCCCATTTTACAGATGAAGAAGCTGAGGGGTAGATTAATAAAACAGCTCTCTGGAGGTCACAGATTTGGTAAATGACAGAACTGGACTGCAATGAAGATTTGGCTTGCTCCATAGCACCATGGGCCACTCTTTTAGATGACACGGGTGCATAGCCTCCTGCCTTAGAAAACAGAAGAATAATTTCCTATAAGCTATTGCTGAGATTTTTACTGAGTCCAACCCAACGCACTTCAAAAGTTAGTGATCAGTTACCATCAGGAGGACTATTTAAATAAATATTAAAATTTCAAACTATTATCTTTTGCAGATAGCCTACAAAGTCTGGTTGTTTTAAAAGGCCATCAAAGATGCCTATTTATAGGCTGGGCATGGTGGCTCACACCTATAATCCCAGCACTTTGGGAGGCCGAGGCAGGCAGATCACCTGAGGTCAGGAGTTTGAGACCAACCTGGCCAACATGGTAAAACCCGTCTCTACTAAAAATACAAAAAAATTAGCCAGGCGTGGTGGTGTCCACTTGTAATCCCAGCTACTTGGGAGGCTGAGGCAGGAGAATCGCTTGAACCAGGGAGGAAGAGGTTGCAGTGAGCAGAGATTGTGGTACTACACTCCAGCCTGGCTGACAGAGTGAGACTCCATCTCAGAAAAAAAAAAAAAAAAAGATTCCTATTAATTTACATACTGGAGAAAGTATGTTTTGCACCTAACCAAGCTTGGAAGGCTTACCTGGACTCTACATGGCTCAAAACCACGCATTACTTGAGAGTTTTACTGATATTGTTTGTTTCTGTGCATGGTTTGTAATGTGTCAGACTTCATTTTAAAAGTTTCCCAGGGGATGATCAGCAAAGAACTATAGATCTTATTGACCATGTGAACACATCCTGGAGTTAGTTTTTTAAAGGAAAAGAGTTGGCCTCTGCACTCTGGCGAAGTTGTAGTTAGGGAGCATAGAGTTCTGAGTGTTTGCTAAAGCTTATGTGCATGTCTTCTATCAGAAACCCAGAATGCCTAGCACTCTAGTTGCCTTTCAGGAATAAAATTCTAAGCTCTTTATTATCCAGCTCTGTAAAAAAAAAAAAAAAAAAAAAAAAAGGCCACTGAGAGAAGTCATAGTGATAGATTCTTTAAGGACTGTATAGTCTAGTCCCATTTTGTGATTAAATCAGATTACTAGATGCATACATATTAGACTCATTCATATTTTACAGACGAGGAAGCTCTGCCTAGAGAAATTGTCCACAATCCCAGAGCTAATAAGAAGTGGAATTAGCCGGGCGCAGTGGCTCACGCCTGTAATCCCAGCACTATGGGAGGCCGAGGCGGGTGGATCACGAGGTCAGGAGATCAAGAACATCCTGGCTAACACGGTGAAACCCTGTCTCTACTAAAAATACAAAAAATTAGCCGGGTGTGGTGGCGGGTACCTGTAGTCCCAGCTACTCTGGAGGCTGAGGCAGGAGAATGGCGTGAACCCGGGAGGCAGAGTTTGCAGTGAGCTGAGACCACACCACTGCACTCCAGCCTGGGCGACAGAGCTAGACTCTGTCTTGAAAAAAAAAAAAAAAAAAGAAGTGGAATTAGAGACTCAACACCCAGTCTTTTTGGCTTGTAGCTCTCAGCCTTTTCCATTATCTCAGCCTGCTGCAACGATACATCACAGAGTAGCAAGAAGAAAACACTCTCAATACCTAAGTATTTTAGCCTTCATTATTTTAAAAGACAATTTACAGTAATTATTATTACTGACAATCCATAAAACTTATTACCTTTCGTTCTATAATCCTAGCATAATCATAATATTATAAATAATTTACCAGCATAATGGTATAAAAAGTAATAATAAAAGCAAAAAATGTCCCAGATTTTCTCTTGTATTTATTGGTTATTTAATCAGCTCCTTCTTCTGCCATCTATCTTTTGCCAAAGCAGGTAAAGTACGGTGAAAATATTTATCGTACTACAAACAAAAATCTAGATAATGAGCGTAAGTTTTCACAAAATTGGCAGGAGTTTTGGCTTTAAATAGGCACAGCCATAGCTGACAATCTGCCAATATTTAAAATTATACAATATTACTGAGAAGAAAATTAAGATTTATAAAACATTAATTTCTAGAATATTAAATATTCAGTTTTACCATTTTGAGATACATACATTTCCTAGATTTAAAAAGGTAAGATAGCAGATTAAAGGAAAACAGTTAAGATCCACATTTTAAAAGTATATGAATAATGTGTATTTTACAATATTTGGAATAATCAGAAAACCATAAAGAAAATGTAAGGTTCCCCTGCACTTACTGACAAGAAAAAAATGTGTTAACATTTTCATTATAATTTTCCCAGGTACATGTAAATACATGTGGAATTGTAAAACTGGGATAATATTCTATCAGTGTTCTATCATAATTTCTTATTAAAATTATACCATTATCATGCTTCCATGTTAATAGTCTTCAAAGACTTTTTTTTAGGTGATGTTTCTTGTTTTTTTGAGACGGAGTCTAGCTCTGTCACCCAGCCTAGAGTGCAGTGGCGTGATTTAGGCTCACTGAAATTTCTGCCTCCTGGTTTCAAGCGATTCTCCTGGCTCAGCCTCCCGAGTAGCTGGGACTACAGGCGTGCGCCACTATGCCCAGCTAATTTTTGTATTTTTACTAGATATGAGGTTTCACCATATTGGCCAGCCTGGTCTCAAACTCCCGACCTCAAGTAATCCGCTCACCTTGGCCTCTCAAAGTGCTGGGTTATAGGCGTGAGCCACTGTGCCTGGCCTAGGAGACTTATTTTTAAGGAATACTGTTATACGGCTAAACTTAAATGTATTTAACCATTTCCTTCCTTTCTGGGTGACAGATATCATTGATTTGCATTTTTCACAATTATATATAACTTTATGACAAATAATCTGTAAAAAAAATCTTGCATGTGGTCTACAATTATTTCTTTGAAATATAATTTTAGAGGTGAAAATCCTTGCTCAAGAACTACATACGTTTTAAAGATTATTGATCTGTCTTGCAAAATTGCTTGTCAAAAATGCCTCACCATTTTCTGCTTATTAAACAAAACCAAAACCAAAATAAAATATTATATTCTTGTTTCAGTTTGTATTTCTTTGATTGGAAACACTTTTTACACCTTTACTGAACAATTCTGGATCTTTTTTTTTTTTTTCCATCACCTGGTTGTTCATCTTTTACTTTTTGTTGCTAGTTTTTAAAAGTTTTTAAAAACATATTATGATTTTTATATCAATGTATTGCAAATATTTTTCCAGTTTCTCAGTTTTTAATTTGTTGATTTTTGTACTTACATGAACTTTTAATTGTTATGTTGCCATATCTACCAAGTTTCCTTTGTATTTATGCTTACAAGGGCTTTTTTTTTTTTTTTTGGAGACGGAGTCTGGCTCTGTCTGTCGCCCAGGCTGGAGTGCAGTGGTGCGATCTCAGCTCACTGCAAGCTCCGCCTCCTGGGTTCACCCCATTCTCCTGCCTCAGCCTCCCGAGCAGCTGGGACTACAGGCACCTGCCACCACGCCCGGCTAATTTTTTGTATTTTTAGTAGAGACAGGGTTTCACCGTGTTAGCCAGGATGGTCTCCATCTCCTGACCTCGTGATCCACCCGCCTCGGCCTCCCAAACTGCTGGGATTACAGGCGTGAGCCACTGTGCCCAGCCACAAGGGCTTTTTAAAATTTAGAGAACAGAAAAATACTGAATTGCTTTTAGTATCACTTTTCTATGCATTCTTCCTCTTTGCACATTGAAGTCTGTAATTCTTTGGAATTCATTTTAGCATCTAACGTAAAATAGAAACTATTTTTTAAAGTATAGTCACATAATTTTCTTAGCAAAATTTGTCTTCATCCCTGTTTATTTATTTGTTTGTTTATTTCAGAGTTTTACACTGCAGGATCCCCGTTCATTTAAATTGCCAGTTTCAGTATGCACTACTTCTTATGTAAACAGTATTCTGACATTCTAATCAGTTCCAGTGATCCTTCTGCCTATTCTTGCATTTGTGACATACTCTTTTAATTACGATGGCTTTGTATTTATCTTTAACATCAGTTGGTGCAGTTTCTGTTTTCATTTCAATAGCAATCTTAAAAAAAAAAACAGAAAAGAAAAGAGAAAGAAAACATATTGCATAACTTCCGGATGGCCACTTAACAACCAACTCCCGCCAGGACATAAATGCTCTCATTTCTGTTTGTAATTGCTGCCAAATGCTACTGCTTTAATTTTGGTTACCTATTGAGAAAAGAACATAGGCCAACTTAATACAAAAATGATATTTGGCCCAAGTGAAAGCAAATTACATAAAAGTATGCTCTGTGGGTGGAGATTTGATAGTAGTTTGATTAGAAAAAAGTAGTAGCAAAATTGAATTATCACAAACTTATAGTGTATAGGCAAAATGAACTCAAAACAAGCTACACTGAAAAAATTCTCATTGAAAGTGGAAATTTAGTTTACTAATACAGTCATGCATTGCTGAGCCTGAACGATGGAGATGTATTCTGAGGAGTGTGTCTCTAGGCAATTTTGTTGTCATGCAAACATCACAGAATGCACTTCACAAACTGCCACTGTATAGCCTACTACATACCTAGGCTATATGCTATGGCCCGTTGCTCCCAGGCTACAAATCTGTACAGCATGTTATTGTACTAAATACTGTAGACAGTTGTAACACAATGGTATTTGTGTATCTAAATATATCTAAACATAGAAAAAGTACAGTAAAAATACAGAGTAAAAGATAAAAAGAATGGCACACCTGTATAGGGCACTTATCATGAATGGAGCTTGCAGGACTGGAAGTTGCTGTGGGTGAGTCAGTGAGTGAGTGGAGAGTGAACGTGAAGGCCTAGAACATTACTGTACACTAATGTTGACTTAAAAAATACTGTATACTTAGGCTTCACTAAATTTGTAAAAAAATACTTTTCTTTAATACACATTAGTTTACTGTAACTTTTTTTACTTTCTAAACTTTTAATTTCTTTTAACTTTTTTACTCTTTTGTGATAACACAGCTTAAAACACAAGCACATTGTACAGCCATACAAAAATATTTTTTCTTTATATCCTATTCTATCAGCCTTTTCTTCTACTTTGAATTTTTTCATTTTTGTACTTTAAATATTTGTTGTAAAAACTAAGACACAAACACACACATTAGCCTAGGCCTAACAGGGTCAGGAATATCAATATCACTGTCTTCCACCTCCACACCTTGTCCTACTGCGAGGTCTTCAGGGGCAGTGACACACACAGAGCTGCCAGCTCCTATGGTAACAATGCCTTCTTCTGGAATCCCTCCTGAAGGACCTGCTGAGGTTGTTTCACACTTAATGTTTCGGTTTGTTTGAGATAGAGTCTTGTTCTGTCACCCAGGCTGGAGTGCAGTGGCGCGATCTTGGCTTACTGCAAACTGCCTCCCGGGCTCAAGTGATTCTTCTGCCTCAGCCTTCCGAGTAGCTGGGATCATAGGGTGAACCACTATGCCTGGCTAATTTTTGTATTTTTCATGGAGATGAGGCTTCTGCATGTTAACCAGGCTGGTCTCAACCTCCTGACCTCAGGTGATCCACCTGCCTCGGCCTCCCAAAGTGCTGGGATTACAGGCATGAGCCACTGTACCCTGCCTGTTTCACAGCAAATTTTTTAAAATAAGTAGAAGGAATACACTTGAATGATAAAATGTATAATATAATATAGCAAATACATAAACCAGTAACATAGTCAAATATTATCATTATCAAGTATTACTGTACATAATTGTATAAGCTACACTTCTATATGCCTGGCAGTGCAGTAGGTTTGTTTACACCAGTGTCATCACAAACATAGGAGTAATGTGTTGTGATAGGACCTTAACAACAGCTGTGATGTTACTAGGCATAGGAAATGTTCAGCTCCTCTATAATCTTATGGAACTGCTGTTATCTGTGCGGTCCACTGTCGACTAAACGACATTGTGTGGTGTGAACTATACAGCCTATCTCGTTACATTCACTTTACTAGTTTTAATTTTGTTGGTTTTATAATTTTTCTTATATCCAAATTTGTATATCATAAAACATTAAAAAATCTTAGAAATATATTAGCAGGAGTGTATATCTAGAATTCTTTCTATACATATATAATTGACATTATAATGTTAATTAGGTCAACAGTGAGAGTTTATAATAACTGTTCCCTTCAAAGATGTCCATAAATGACTCAAGTTTGAAAGTTCAAAAGGTGAAAAATGTAATAAGTTAGCTTCGTAGTTTCACTACTGACTTAGCCACTTATTTTTTCTATTTTTTGAGACGGAGTTTTGCTCTTGTCGCCCAGGCTGCAGTGCAATGGCATGATCTTAGCTCTCTGCAACCTCTGCCTCTTGGGTTCAAGTGATTCTTCTGCCTCAGGATCCCGAGTAGCTGGGATTACAGGCACCTACCACTACACCTGGCTAATTTTTTTTGTATTTTTAGTAGAGATGGGGTTTCACCATGTTGGCCAGTCTGGTCTCAAACTCCAGACCTCAGGTGATCCACCAGCCTCGGCCTCCCAAAGTGCTGGGATTACAGGCACGAGCCACCACGCCCGGCCTAGCCACATTTTTATAGCTATTACCTTACTGATATGTTAGACTTGTTCTCTCAAGAGTATATAAGGGAGATTTTATTTCTCAGGTCCTGGCCACTTAACCAGCCCTACTCTGAGACTCACATCAAGGGGAGCCCATGAAAGCCAGGCTTGAGCAAAAACACCAGCTCCAGCCATTGGCCAAGGTTTGCTTCTGGTTTTTTAGCTCACACAGGGCTCACTGTTCTTGACTCCCAGGCTACCTGGATCTAGCTTCCTCCTGTTTGCCCATTTTAGGTGATCTTCTCGAATTCCCCTCTATCTCTTAGCTCAATTTGCACATTCTTTGATCCAAGAGGACCCAGAGTTCTCAGTAAGAGACACTCCCCTGACATGCCCCAGCTCCATGGATTCCCTACTGGCTAGGCTGACACTGACCCTCACCCAGCCTCCCTGCCATTGGACTGGATTCTGTGAAGAAATGTCAAAGAAGCACACATGTCCTTCCCTTAGATGGTTCATTAAAGGGAAGGGAGAGGGGGAAAGGAGGTGGTGATTGGGGTGGGGAAGTTTTTCATTTTTAAATTGAACATTTATAAAAGATAATTGTTATGAAACATAAGCCCCCAGAAGTTGAGTGATACAGCTCCATGCAGCTACATGACAGTGATGTGGTTCTCGAGTTGATCACATCCCAGGTCAATGTGTTACTAAAAGTAAGGCACCCAGTGGCTGGGTGTGGTGGCTCACGCCTGTAATCCCAGCACTTTGGGAGGCCGAGGCGGGCGGATCACGAGGTCAGGAGATTGAGACCATCCTGGCTCACAGGGTGAAACCCCGTCTCTACTAAAAAAAAAAAAAAATTAGCTGGGCATGGTGGCAGGCACCTGTAGTCCCAGCTACTGGGGAGGCTGAGGCAGGAGAATGGCGTGAACCTGGGAGGTGGAGCTTGCAGTGAGCTGAGATGGTGCCACTGCACTCCAGACTGGGCGACAAAGCGAGACTCTGTCTCAAAACAAAAAAAAAAGTAAGGCACCCAGCTCATAGCAGGTGCTCACTAAATGCCAGTTGCCATCTATAACCAATCTCAAGTTGAATTGTGGCTTTTATTTTTGTTCAAAAGGATGGTGTAGTCAACAGTAATTATTTGCGGATTCCATGTTTGCAAACTCATCTACTTGTTGAAATTTATTTGTAATCCCCAAATCTATACTTGCAGTGCTTTCATGGTCATTTGAGGACACGTGTACACACAGGCTGGCAAAAAAATTGAGTGGCATAACACTCATGATCCCTACTGATGTAGAACAAGGTGATGCCCTGCCTTCTTTTAGCTCATACTGCAAACAAATGTCTTTTTCACAGCCTATTTACTGCCACATTTCCCCCTGACATTTTTGTGCTTTTTTTTTATTGGTGATATTACTGTTTCAAATGGCCCCCAAGCGCAGTGTTGAGTGTCGTCCAGTGTTCCTAAGCACAAGAAGGCTGTGATGTGCCTTATGGGGAAAACATGCCTATTAGATAAGCTTTTTTCAGACATTAGTTATAGAGCTGTTGGCCATGAGTTCAGTGTTAATGAATCAAAAACATATGTTAAGTAAGATGTCTTAAAGCAGAAACATGCATAAAATAACGTTATGTATTGATAGGTTGATGAATATACTGTGACCAGAGGCTTGCAGGAACTTAACCCTGAATTCCCTCTAGGGGCAATGGTTCAGTATTAACTTATTCAGTGTTTGCAGTGATTTTATGGGTCATACTCCTGTGAATAATGAGCGTCGACCATAATTAATGACCAATGGCAAGTAGTTATCATGTAGCACGAACTGAAGAATCAAAAGGAAAGGAGATTTGGAGAGAAATAGCCTGGTTTCGAGAAAGGTAGGAGTTGGGGAGGTGGGGGCCCAAGGAGAAGCATCATTTAAGTCTATTCCCAATTCACCAAGTGCCATGGTTAACAGCTATTCTAGGTAGAGAATTGGTACTACTCTTATATCTGATGATTAGTATAATCATTTTGTAAAAGCTTTTGTATTCCCAAAAGGAAAAATACTATATACTCTTTCAGAAGAGACTATTCAGTTTCACAAATGAAAAATTGAAGAACATTCTTCTGTGTTTGAAACAGAAGCAGTTGGCCTACATTAATAGAGATTATATAACTCTTCTAGAGAAATTATATTTTTAGAATATTTCCTGCATTTTGATTCAAATTTATAAATACTAATTAAATGCATTCATGTTGAAGCATGTTATGAAATATGTAATTTCCCCTTTGTTCTTGAGCTGGGTAGCTTCTACAGACTGAATTATCAGAGGCTTAAAAACTTCAATTCCAGGCAATGATATAGCCACCTACACTAGCTTGGGGTGTCAGGTAGCCAGAGAGGAAAAGTGGAAGTCTAACTCGGAAAACAGATAGTAACTACATTACTTCAACCAGAGTTGAAGGTAAAACAGAAAGGAATGATAAATTAGAATAGTATAAAAAATTACACCCATGTGAATGTTATAACTAAAGATATTATAACCTATAAATTGTCTACACTCAATTAAATATAAACTATATGTAGTTTATATATGGATATAAACTACATGTTATACACACACTCATACACACACACACATAATGCATAGTACTATAATTGCTCAGCAGCAAAACAGATTTTGCCTTTCATATAGTTAATTAAGAACCAGGTACTGGCTGGGCACAATGGCTCACGAGTGTAATCCCAGCACTTTGGAAGGCTGAAATGGGAGGACTACTTGAGCCCAGGAGGTTGAGGCTGCAGTGAGCCATGATCATATTACTGCATTCCAGCCTGGGCAACAGAGTGAGACCCTGCCTCAAACAAAAACAAAAACTGGTGCTATATTTTGGTAATAATATTGAAGGACAGCATTAGAGGAGAAAAAGGTCTTGCCCAGCAATGCTGTATCTAATTTTGATCATAATGTATTATGTAATTACTTATGTGTTTTCACACATAAACTATTTTCATTATATCCCTGTCATTAATAAAAATCATTTTTCCTATGGTTGGTGATTTTATAAGGACAGTAGTATCAAACGTATTTTACCATTTTTTGATGTGTCTTACTTCTGACACCATATAACATATGAACTGTTTATCTGTTGGGTTGTTTGATATGGCTGGCCTTGTATCGCTGCTATGTGGGTGATTGTGTAATTGGTTTATTTCCCATTCTTCGCAGTCCCTGTAGTGTCTATTATGGTTTCTCAAATAAGCTAGACGCTCAGTAAATATTCACTGGAAGGCAGCCAAGTTTCATTGCCTAAGGCGTAGCGAAATCTTACAATTTTATGTTGCCTGGGCATCCATTTTGATTGTAAGTTGGACTTTCTCATAGCAGATGCAGGGCTTAGTGAATCTTGACATGATTTCTAGTTCTCTGCTTCCTCCTAGCTCCTCAAGGCGGTCAATCCAGGTATCTGCTAGTGCCCACCTCCCCAGGGGACAGCTCAATACAACCTACCTGACTCACGCCCAAGACCCCTCCCGCTGCATGGACTGCATGGAGATGCCACAGTTACTACCGCTCAGGCACAGTGTGGCTCCATGAAACTGGTAATTGTTGCTGTAACGCCCCCCACCACCCACCCCCATTAGAACTCTCAGCAGGAAACCTGCTTGGGTAACTCCTGAGACCCCAACAAAGTCTTAGGCCCTGAGGTCTCTTGTGATCTCTTTTGCTCCCCACACTGGTGGAGCCTGCGTGTCCAGGACAGCTCCCCTTTCCTGTTGGCCCTGAGAGGCAGGCTGCCCTCTCTGCTCTGGATCTGTGAGTCAAACGCTGCTTCTGTTATTTCATGTGTTTTGCTGTATGATCTCCTCTTTGTCTCACCTGAGCAACACACGCGAACCTAACTCTCCTTCTGCTCAGAGCTTTCACAGAGAGTGATTCTCTTGGTAGGAATAAGCTAGACACAGGGTGGCTGGGCGTGGTGGCTCCCGCCTGTCATCTCAGCACTTTGAGAGGCTGAGGCGAAGGATTGCTTGAGTCTAGGAGTTTAAGACCAGTCTGGGCAACATAGTAAGATGTTGTCTACAAAAACAAAGCGAAACCAAAAACCAAAAACCAAACAAACTTAAAACCGAACCAAAACAAAACATACACTAGACACAGAGCAGACAAAAGCCATGTCTCAGTCTGTTTGGGCTGCCATAAAAAATATCTTAGACTGGGTAATTTGTAAACAACAACAACAGCAGATTGCTTACAGTTCTGGAGGCTGGGAAGCCCGAGACAGAGGTAGCAGTAGATTTGGTGTCTGATGAGGGCCGACTCTCTGCTTCATAGATGGTGCCTTCCAGCAGTGTCCTCACATGGCACAAAGGTGGACAAGCTTCCTTGGGCCTCTTTTGTCTGGGCACTAATCCTGTTCATGAAGGCTCTGCCCTCATTACCTAATCATCTCCCAAAGGCCCCACTTATTAACACCATCACGTTAGGAATGAGGTTTCAATTTACGGATTTTAGGAGGATAGAGACATTCAGACTATAGCACGCCACAAGGCCATCTGCCAGTGTAAACAGGTTTTCCTGTTTGTGGGACACCTGGCCACAAGTCACACCTGGGCATCAGGCCGTCTGCCAGGATAAAGAAGTATCCAGTTAAAGGCACACTGAACATCCACAACCACGTCCCGGGAACCCCCTTGGGTCGGAGCTAGAACACGGAGACCCCGAGACTAAATTAGAAAAAAAAAAAAAAAAAATACAACCTAAGGTAACATAATTAACAAGCTATTAGTTGGCCAAGTTAGATATGAACTCGGATCCACACGGGTCTAAAGCTTGTACTCTTTTCATTTTTACCGTGTTATCTCCTTATGCTTTTTGTTTGATTTTCTAATACGACAGGTTTACCATGGGTCATTTTTATGTCTGTTACAAGCTCAAGTGAAACGTATCTTTAACCATGTAAGACATGAAAAATAATTTACGAATTACAAAGTCAAATATGCCATGGAATAGTCAAATATATCCCTTTGTGCAATGAGGGGCAGGCACAATAAAACTGAGTAAGGGCTAAAAGCGGTTATGAAAAGATTTAGAAAATCATCCTTGAGACTCCAAAATAAGTATTTGGCCTAGTGAAAAGGATACTGGTGAAGAAAGGTTGTATAAGATACTTCAAGTAAGGAAAGAATAATTAACACAGGGGTTTCAATGGCATGCAGAAACAAAACAAAGCAAAACGAAAATACGAGAGACTTTCCCAAGCACATTTGGTGCAGGTCAGGTACCTACTTAATTATCTAACCAGCAATTAAAATAGGAAGAAAGGGAAATATAGGGAGAGAAATAGAAAAGTTCAGATTAAAACTAGAACTAGTCTTTTAACTACAGAGCCGAAGAAAAAAGATTTCTTATCCTTTGTAAGATATTCTTTATTATTGTAGTTAAGGCAATTGGCAATGATTTTTCCATAACTCAGTAATTAAAGCCTTAGCTTGACAGGTGAAAGCCAGTGCTGTATGAGGAGCAGCTCTGAGCAAATTAAAGACACAAAGGAAAATGAAGAGGCCTCCTGTGTGTTTCGTATATCAAGAATATGTATTTGCTTCCTGGGTAGTCTTATAAAAATCAATGTCTTTGTTACACACCTTGATCACAGCACATGATTTTATAATGGTTAATAATAAGAGAATCAGAGGTGTACTGATTATTTGCCTTCCTGGGGGTAATTGTCAAACAGCCTTTATGTGCTTTGCAAGGGCTGTAAAGTGGTTTAGCAACATATTTAATTCTGAGTTAGTGACACTGTGACTCACTGGGAGGTGGCAATGTATCAGGCTGATGGAATATGTATCACGTCAAAATGTCAGAGATGTAGTGTCAAACCATAAAGAGATGCTTTTAGCAGGTGAAGTCTTGCATCAAAGCTGATATTTGAAATTGTCTGGAGAGCATTTAAATTTGCACATAATTCTCAATGGGACTTTACAGAACATTTGTGTGGCATATGAACAGCAATATGCTGAAGTCCGAGACTCACATACTGGAAACCACAACATTTTTGAGACTGTTCTTGGTTTAAAGTCATTCATGGCTTCCTGCTTCCTGGAATGTTTAGGTGGGGTTTTAAGCATTTTTCAACATACAGTGGCCATAGCTTTTAATTTGGGGAGAAAAATGGATATGCATTATGCAGGCATATTGAGGATGCTGAAGAGGGACGAGGTAAACAGCGAACAGCCTGGAATAAGAGAACAGTCAGCTGGGCCAGGCATGGATCGTGAATACCCAGGAGGTGGTATGGTCTAGTGTCTGTGAAAAGCAGCAAATAAGTAAGTTTGGCAGAGATCTTACAAATGGGAACAAAACAGAGAGGAAAAACAACAGAGGGTAGACCAAGTTAGCAGAACCTGGGTGCAGGTAGAGGCTGAGCCTCTTTGGAGTCAAGTAGAATTCAGCACCTGCAGAACCAGGGCTGGGTCTGTCCTTTAGGATAATGAAAAGGGGCCGTGATGCTAACACGCTTAGAACCAGAAGCCAAAGGGAAGACTGAGCTTTAAAAAGAAATCAGGCAACAACTCCTCCCTTCCCCCTCCACCATGCCCTGGCAACCTGGCAACCACCTACTCTCTGTTTTGATACATATGAGTACTTTGGATACTTCATGGTATAGAGTTTGGGTTTGCAAGATGAAAGAGTTGTGGAGACCAGATGCACGTAAACGTGACTCTACTTAATGCTACTGAACTTGACTGAAGTGGAGTCACTGAACGTGACTCTGCTTGTGCTTAAAAATGGTTAAGATCGTCAATTTGGTGTTATGTGTTTTTTTAATCACAATTGTAAAAGAAATAACAGAAATAAATCAGGCGAAAGAGTAGGCAGCAGCTGTGCTGGCATCGTGGCCTTCTGTAACTTCAGCTGACCTTTCAATCTTCCCAGCACCAAGCACAGAACCTGGAACTTGGCTTGACAAAGGTGTAATGCATGAATGCATTTCTGAATAATGATGGATTGCAGCTCACTCCAGAATGCCTGTACAGAAGAGTTTCTCAAGTTATATCCAGTTTTTTAAAAAAATAATTTGTTATTGTATATATTCCGTGGAGGTTCTATCTCATTCTACCTTTTTTTAGCCTTTGCACCTACCATAATGCCAGGTCGAAAGTGGGTTGCTCAATAGATGCTTGTTGACTAAGGTGTGACTGTTTTAAACTGGGGATAGTTTGCAAGGAATTGCCTGAAACTATACTAATGATATTCTTCCCATAAACAAGTTGCATTCTGAGACCTCTCATAATCAAAATTTAGTTATGCATTTGCATGAACTTTGTGGAGCTATAATGTGATACAAAGAAGAAAACAGGAGCTACCAGAGAAAATATGACATTTTAGGAAAAATGTTTCACTCTCTACAGCTACTCTTGTTAAGTAGTGGCAGCAAAAGCGACACTCAGATTAATCTAGGGTTGAAATGCCACGGTTCTCCGTTCTACTTGCCTGCCTCTACTCCAAATGGGCTCCATGTTTGTGGCCTGCCACAGCTTTTCATGTTTTTCAAGTTGGTGCCTTACAAAACCCAGTAACTTATTTCCTCTCTAACCACATCTCCATGCACATGACAGTCAATCCTTCCATTAAGGGTTTGGGGACTTGCTGTCACACTGCATCAGCTATTTCCTGTTAATTGCAGTTGTGGGCTTTCTCTCCAAGACACTTTTTATGAAAGGCCTATATTCATTTGCCTGGAGTTACTGAGGGGTTGATTTGCCTGAAAGCATAGCAATGGCTAAATAAGTATGAATGTCCCTTCCCACTAAAGAATAATCACAGTAGTGTCAATCTTGTTTTCAGATCAATAATAAGACAGGCCAGCAGGCCTGCAGAGTCACATTATGCTTTCACAGAAGCTTTGTTTATTTAGGAATTATGTCTTTATGTTGTACATCTATAAACTATGAACAGAAGTCACGATGGAAAGTGGAAGTATACGATGTACAATTTTCTAAAACTGTTAGGTACACTTGATTTTGCCTCCAATGATCCTCCTGCCTCAGCATCCCAAAGTGCTGGGATTACAGGTGTGAGCCACTGTGCCCAGCTGCCTCTTAAAAAAAAAAATTTGCTCTCTTTCCATTTCCTACCTAGAGTTGTTCCCATTTCTGTGCTTCATATTCTCCACACCTAGACTGGGAATCTCTTGGGGTCAGGAATAGTTTCTTGTTTGTGCTGATAGTCATGGTTCCTTGCACGAAGGCAAAATTCAACTTATTGATTGAATGAATATACAAATGAATGAAACTGTGTGTGTGTTTGTGTATGTGCATGTGTGCAGAGCACACACTGCATGCATACCTATTTTAGGAAAAAGGCGGGGTGTGGGATAGGACTGGTAGAAAGCACAGTCATGCAGTCAACATCTACTGAAATGATTCAGAATATTGTTCATGTCATTTCTTGATTGTGACCGACATTAGAACCACCTAGAAAGTTGAAAAATATTGATGCTGGGGCTCTTTTCCAGAGCAATTAAGTCAACGTGTCTGAGGATGGATCCTGGGAATGGAAATGCCATGTAATGAAGTTTCATCTGAGGTAATTTCCTGCTTTTTCTTTAAGGCTTTGTAGAAGAGAGATCTCTCCGTGGTTGTAAGCTTATCTTGAGCATACATTATTTTCAGTTTAGTTCAGAAAGTTAAAGCATTATCATTTTAATGCTTTTGCTTATTTTGGAGAATTTTCCATTTATTTCAGTTATTTTTTCCCTAAGCTTATTTTGGGCACATGGTTTTATTTTAGAAATTCAAACATTTGCCTTAAGCTAGATGTGAATTTAAAGGGCAACAAGTGAATTTTAAGTAGGTGAAAACCTCAAGAGAAAGAGCCGGCATCTGAAGCCAAAACTAACAAGTTCTAATTTATATAAGGTTGGCTCTGTGGTCAATTTAGAGAGAGAAGGGATAGTTTTGTTTATGCCCAAGGAACAAAGCTGCCTTGGTAGAAAGAACAGAGAATACTTCCTAATAAAGCTTCCATTTAGTAATTCAGGAAACAACTACTATAGTAAGATGTTTTCTGAATTTCTGAATTGGTTTGTGAGGAAAAACATTAGAAATGAAGGTGATTGTTCAGCCTCAATCCTGTTACTTTGGCATCTCTGAAACTCTTAGATGAGAAAGCAGAGGGTTCTTGTATGTGACCATGGAGCCAATGCATGCATGAAAAAGCTGCTGAAACCTCAAGAAGTGACATGAATATTGGGTTGCAAGCATCCTTAGCTCTTTACCATGTCCCCACTTCTCAGTAGGTGCTGAGCAACGATGGTGCAAAGTATGCGATGGAGGATTGGAAAACCTAGGGGTTGGTACTGGTCCTGCCATTGACTGACCACATGACCTGGAGGTAAATCACTAATCTGTTTTTGGTGCCCAGTTGCTGTGATGGTTAAATTAAGGAGTCAGCTTGACTGGATTAAGAAATACCTGGAGAGTTGGTAAAAATTATTTCTGGGTGTGTCTGCAAGGGTCTTTCCAGAGGAGATTGGGGTGTGAATTGGTGGACTGAGTGAGGAAGATCCTCCCTCATGTGGGCAGGCATGATCCAATTTGCTGAGGTCCCAGAGATAACAAAAGGCAGAAGACAAATTCTTTTTTTGTCTCTCCCAGAGCGCTGACACTCTCCTTCTCCTGTCCTTGGCCATCAGAACTCCAGGCTGTCTGGCCTTTGGACTTGAACTTGCATAATGGCCACCTGGGTTCTCAGGCCTTCAGCCTCAGACTAAGAGTTACACCAATAATTTTCCCGGTTCTGAGGCCTTCAGATTAGACTGAGCCATGCTACCAGCTTCCCTGGTTCTCCAGCTTGCAGAGAGCCTAGCGTAGGATTTCTCAACCTCCCAATTGCATGAGCCAATTCTCCTAATAAATCTCTTCTCATATGTACAGATACAGATGTATATCTTCTATTGGTTCTGTCTCTCTGGAGGCCCTTAACTAATACAAAAAGGATTTAACAAAAAGAGGGCCTGTTGTGGGACTTAGCTTTCATAATTGTATGAGCCAATTCCCCTAATAAATTCCTTATCTATCTATCCATCCATCCATCCATCCATCCATCCATCCATCCATCCATCCATCTATCCATCCATCCTATTGCTTCTCTCTCTCTCTTTGGAGAAGCCTAAAACAGTTGGATTACTTGCTTTAATGGAGTCAGTTACCATCCTGCTTAATGGAGTTTCTATGGGCATCAAATGAAATCATGGGAAATACTCTTAAGCTCTTACATAAATCCAATTAAAGAAACATTTAATGGGTACCAAACATGTGGAGGGGTAGACTAAACTCTTGAGACACAAGGATACTATAAGATGATCCTTGACTTCCTCTAGTGATTCACCATTTGGGGAGGGAAACAGAAACAGAAATGGCAAAAAAGGTGTGACTGAGAAATGCTTTCATAAAAATAGAATTAGATGCTATGGGAACTTTAATGAAGAAGAAACAATGGATTCTGCTGAGACGAGAGGGGACAAAGAGGGGGTGTTGAAGAGATTTCCTAGGATCATAGATACTTGAACTGAGTCTCAAAGGATCAGAGAATTTTAACTGCGGAAGCAGCTTGGGAAAGGTACAGATTCATGAAATGCATACAGCGTTCAAGGCAGTCTGGATGATATGGAGTGATTAGCATCTGGGGTTGAAGTGAAACAATACAGTTGATGGGGTTGATGGACAGGTTGAGGCATCAGACTGAATTGCCTTGAAGACCATGCTCTATAGTTTAGATTGTATTTTGTAACTAATAAGAAGATATGGAAAGGTTTTGACAGAAGAATACCATGATTGTTTACAGATGTAAACTATAATGATCTATTTGTTTATGAAAACAAATTAATTTTTCTTTTCCTAATTACATACTGAAGTCCTACAATTGTACAGTAGTTTCCCCCTTATCCATGGGAAATATGTTCCAAGACTCCCAGTAGATGCCTGAAACCACAGGTAGTACCAAATCCTAAAAGATACTCCTCCACTTACAATGGGGTCATATCCCAATAAATCTACTGTAAGTCAAAGAACATGGATCGCTGTCCCACCATTGTAAAGCTGAGAAAATTTTTAAGTCAAAACATTGTAAATCAAGAATCATCTGTGTATACTATGTTTTTTTCCTATTCATACATGTCTATGATAAGCTTTAATTTATAAATGAGGCACAGTAAGAGATTATGAGAATAATAAAATAGAAAAATAATAACAATATATTGTAATAAAAGTTATGTTATGTGGTTCTTCTCTCTCTCTTTCAAAATACTGTATATTTTCAAGCCATGGTTGGCCACAGGTAACTGAAATTGCAGAAAGCAAAACCACGGACAAGGGGGGACTACTGTATTTATAGTTCAACACAGATTTTATACGAGTTGGAACACTAGTAGCTAGACTTAGAGTTCAGTGAATTGAATGATCATTGTGCTTATTTTTTATTATTGACCTAGATGTAACCCATTAAAATTTATTACAAACCAAGAGAAGCAACAAGTGGGCACACAGCTGCGGATTGGACATGGCCCAGAGACAGTCTGATACACATACTATCTGCCTTATAATTTCCTTCCATTATATTAAGTCAGAAGCCAATGGCTGCTCCTTTTAAATAATTCTTTACATGAAGAT
Source organism: Homo sapiens (assembly GCF_000001405.40). Lineage (NCBI taxonomy): Eukaryota > Metazoa > Chordata > Mammalia > Primates > Hominidae > Homo > Homo sapiens. The sequence goes on along the minus strand of NC_000007.14, from coordinate 148,037,284 downwards.
TGCCATTTTGGAAGGATTTCGACATAGTTTGAGATGATGGGGGAGGGGAGCAAGATATAAGTGACTTCTGCTTTCTGAAAACTCACAAGACAAGGCCTTAGTAATGTCTTCAAATGTTTGAGTGCTATGCCATCTATCTTTGAAAATATTGATCAGTGGGCAATACTGGATTCTGAGCTTAAGGAAAATTTAACAAGAGAAAAGTAAAGCCCCCATTTAAAACTTCCTAGGATAAAATTTTAAAGAGGCCTAGCAAATCTTCTCAACATAGCTCTTCTAAAATCTGAAAGAAAGTAATTAGAATTATTACCACTTGTGCTAATTATGTAACAATTAGCTATTTGATAAGAATTTTTAGCTATTAGATATCAGTCACATTTACATTTAAAAAAACACATAAAGTTGGCTTTATGTGTTCTATATGTTGACTCTGTGGAACTTTGAGATTCCTTATAGAATCAGACATTTCCATCCATTTTATGGAGTTAGGTAATAGAAATCACATGGGACTAGAAATTAGGAATCAGAATTCTAGACTTGATTCTGCAGCTAATATATTATATGATTATGGGTAAATAACATAACTGCTCGTCTTAGTCCACTTTGTGCTGTTATAACAGAATACCTGAGACTCAGTAACGTATAAAGAATGGAATTGTTTTTCATTCCATTGGAATGAAAACGTCCCTTTGGAGCCTGGGACATCCAAGATCAAGGCATCCGTGTCTTGTGAGGGCCTTCTTGCTGTGTCATAACATGGTGGAAAAGCATCACATGGAAAGCATCACAAGAGAGAGCAAGAGAGGCCAAATTCATCCTTTTATAAGCAATTCGCCCCAGAAACCATGAGCCCACTTCTAAGATAATGGCACTAATATTTTCATGAGGGCAGTGCCACCATGATCCAAACACCTCCCACTGGGCCCCACCTCCCAACACTGCTGAATTAGGGATCAAGTTTCTAACACATGAACTTTGGGGAACAGTTTCAAATTATAGCATTTCATCCCTGGTCCACCAAATTCATGTCTTTCTCACATGCAAAATATATTCAATCTATCTCAATAGACTCTAAACTCTTCACTCATCCCAGCCCCAACTCAAAGTCCAAAGTCCAGAATGTTATCTAAATTAGAAATGGTTGAGACTAACAGCATGATTCACTTGAGGCAAATTTCCCTCTAGCTATGAGCCTGTGAAGTTAAACAAGTTATGTGCTTCCAAAATATAATCCTAGAACTAAAACAGGCATAGTATAGACATGCCCATTTTGAAAAGGACGAATAAGCAGGGAAAAAGGGGTAGCTGGTCTCAGGTAAGTCCAAAAAGCCAACAGGGTGAACACTAAATCTTAAGACTCCAGAATAAAGTTTGACTTCTTGTGCTGAACACACTGGAGTTGAGGTTGGGCCCTCAAAGTCTCAGGCAGCCTCACCCGTATAGCTTTGCTGGGTTCAGCCCACATAGGAGCTCTCATGGGTTGGAGTTTCATACCTGCATCTCTCCCAGGCTGGGGCTACATGCTAGTAGCTCTATAGGTCTGGGGTCAGGGTTGTGGGGTTTGCCCTACCCCCACGGCTCCACCAGGCATCGCCATAGTGGGAAATCTGCTATGACTTCTGTCTGTACCATGTCTCTGCCTGGGCCCTGAGGCTGTCCAACACATCCTTTGAAATCTAGGTAGAGGCTACCATGGCCCCACAGCTAATGTACTTTGTGTGCCTACAAAATAAGCACCATATAGGTACCACCAAAGATTACCCTTATACTTTCTGGAGCACCAGCACCAGCTGCACCTGGGCCCACTTGAGCCACAGCTGGAGTGGTCGAGGACTGCTACACTGGAATGCAGGGAGTAGAGTCCCTAGGCCGCCCTGGGCAGAGAAACCAAGGAGGGCACTCTGAGACTCTCCTCTGAAACCATTCTGCCCTCCTAGAGCTCTGGGCTTGTGATGGAGGGAGAGCCTCAGAGATCTCCAAAACACCTTCGGGTAATTCTCCCACTGTCTTGATAAATAGCACCTGGCTTCTTTCTAGCTGTACTAATCCCTTTATTAAAGGGTTGCTTGGCAGCACCTTTACATGGCTGTTCATTACATGGCCAGGCCACAGATTTCCCAAATCTTTCTGCTCTACTTCTTTTTTAATTATAAGTTCTGTCTTTAAATCATTTCTCTTCTCTCTAATCTTACTATATGCAGTTAAAAGTAACCATGCAACTCCTTCAATATTTTGCTTAGAAATTTCTTCCACCAGATATCCGAGTCCATTACTCTTAAATTCTGCCTTCCATAAAGCCCTAGGGCATGAACAATTCAGCCAAGTTCTTTGCCAATTTATAACAAGAATGGCCTTTACTCCAGTTTCTAATAAGCTATTCCTCATTTCTGTCTGAGACTTCATCAGAATGCCCTTTATTGTCCATATTTCTACCAACATTCTGATCACAACAACTTAGTAATCTCTACTTCCCCTATATTTCTTCTCTTCTGAGCCCTCAACAGAATTACCCTAAATGTTCTGTTCATAGCAATGCATGCTTTTCCCAGCCTACTCCTCCAAATTTTCCAGGCTTCTACCCATTATACAGTTCCAAAGCTACTTCTACATTTTCAGGTATTTACTATAGCAACACTGCTCTCTCTGGTACCCATTTTCTGTCTTCGTCTGTTTTGTGCTGCTGTAACAGAATACCTGAGACTGGGTAATTTATAAAGCACAGAAGTTCAAGATCAAGGTGCTGGCATCTCGTAAGGACCTTCTTGCTGTGTCATAACATGGCAGAAGGCAAGAGGGGGTCAAACTCATGCTTTTATAAGAAATACACTCCCAAGACCATGAATCCACTTCCAAGATAACAGCATCAATCCCTTCATGAGAGTGGTGCCCTTATGACCCAAACACCTCCCATTAGGCTTAACCTCCCAATATCCCTGCATTGGGGGTCAACCTTCCAACACATGCACTTTGGGGGGAACAATTAAACCATAGCCCTGATAATGAGGACGTAAGACTGGGTGATTCCAAATTTACTTTAAATTTTATCCTCTTATAACCTCTAATGTGGGTGCTACACACAGGAAATTCTATCACTTGAAATTCATCTGTTCACTTTATCTCTATGTTAACCTGATAGATATAGATGTCTCATTTATATCAAAGCATTTTGTATCTACTTTTCTGCTAATAATGGTACCAGGAGCAGGCATGTCAGCATTGCTCACTTAACAGTTTTTTTATGATTCCTACTATGTCTTTGTTTATTCTAGAGTTTTTCTTTTAGAATTTTCTTTTTCCTGCCTCTGTCACGGTGAATGCTTTCTCTAATGTTTGATGATCACTGGCTACCTGTTTCTCCTTGAAAGAGTTTTTAAATTCCCTCCTTGGCAGGAATATAGGAGGGGGTAAGAAGAAGTAATATGCTTGCTGCTAGTTTCCTGGTAGGGAGATTTAAACAGATGTGGGCAATCCACCATCCTTAGCTCAAAGCCTCTCTCTGTGTGTATACGTATATGCACATACACTTGCACATACTATAAAAAATGCAATCTAACATAATTTATGGAGAAATTAATAGTGAAAACAAACTGAACATGTTAATGCTCAATTCTAATTTCTTAAAGCTAATATGTGCAGTCAAAAATCTAACAGATTAAAACATTCCAAGCAATAGACATCTCTAAAGGAGGTTGTCTTGCTCAGAATCTCAGGATTAAGCATGTTCTCACTCATAAGTAAGAGTTGAATATTGAGAACACAGGGACACAGTGAGGCGAATAACACACACAAGGGCCTTTGTGGAGTGGCGGGTAGAGGAAGGGAACTTAGAGGATGGGTCAATAGGTGCAGCAAACCACCATGGCACATGTAACCTATGTAACAAACCTGCACGTTCTGAACATGTATCCCATTTTTTTTTTTTAGAAGAAATAAAGGAAAAAAAAGGATCTTAAGGGTAAAAATGTGTCTCTGGAGATTGGGGGTGGAGTAGGAGGAAGTCTTCAGGAAAGAGATACATCTTCTAAATTACGAAGAATTTCTTATTTTACCCAATTATAATGTATATAGACTTAGAAGTATTTTTAAATTCAGCAATGAGATGGAAGAGGAAGGAAATCTGGCAGGCAAGCAGATACAGACATGAAAAATCTGCTCAGTGGCAGTAGTTCTTTAACTTTTTAAGATCTATGAGCCCTCGCTAGGTGTGTGGCTGGGTATTATTCTAGACCACTAGGGAGCTTGGTGAATGGGAGAGTCACCGAGTGTTGGGATCCAGTCATCCCAGTCACTCTGTCTGCGTGGAACCTGGCTGATATCCAGCCCTGGGTCACTCTGTGCCTTTCATGAATTCATGGACTACAACAAAATGATATGATATAAATGATTCAAGGGTCAAATTTTTGAGCCAGGAATATGGGATCTCTTCATTAAAGAGTGTGTTTTGTGTTGAGGGGGAATTTCTCAGAACAATCCAAAGTGCTCATCAACATAGAAAACCCCTAAAACTGGCAAGCAGCCTTCGCGTCAGCAGGTGAGGTGAATGGCTCCTCATTGGTTCTCTCTTCTGCTTAGCGCCCAAGGGCTGCTGCTTCTGTGGGTTGGCTGCTGTTGATCAGAAATCCTCTGAACAAGTGCAGAGGATTTCTTTGTTTTGGGGGATGTTCTGCAAATAAGGTGTCATGTTGGGACCTTGAACGTTTCCCTTGGGTGTCTCCTCCCATATGTCACTTCTCCTTTGTTCTTCTGGTTCTTTGTCATTTCCTCTGATTTTGAGATCTGAGCAGAGAGGCCATGAGTTCTCCTGGCACCTTTCACTGGGCTCCAGCACGGTAGCTCCTTCGGTCTGACTCCTACCCTCTCTGTCTCTTGCCCTTGTACTCACCAACCACATGCAGAGTTGCACACACACTGATGTGATGTCAAGCTTCAGGGAGAGCCCAGAAACTTTGTCTGAGACACCATCTGTACCTGCTGGCGCTATTATTTTCTTGAAATGTTAGTTCCCCAGTGCCCCTGTAGATATCACAAAGATCTTTCAGTGAGACATAGATGGACTGTCAATGTCTCCCCAATAGAGCCATGACCACAGCCAGATTAGCACAACCTACTGACATCCAGAACATCTCTTCCAGGCGGATTTCCCCCATTGCCTAAGCCCCTCCCTAGCATTAAGTTAGATGTTTAGGGAGGCACATTAATTCTTTCAGACCACTGGGGAAACATCTAGGGCACCGCGCGGCTGCAGTCACAGAGTCAGGGCAGACAGATGGGAGGCGATTTGTCGACTTGCAACAATAAAGCCTTGATGTTACCCTGGAGACCTGGCAGTGACGAATGATCTTCCCTAAGTAGATAACTTAGTTCTAGGGAGTGACATAGCCTTAGGGAATGAGAATTTATTGTGATATTAGGAAGAAACAATTAATGTCCTCTCTGACTGAGTCTCCTCCTCAGTAAATCGAGGGTAAAAATACTGCCATTCACTTCAGAGAGACCGAGTGCAGCCAGGAAAAAGGAAAGAGGTGCACTGTGTAAATTCGGCACATGGAAATACCTTGTCCACTCAGCAATCTCAGCGTATGTTACCCAGGAAGGCTATTCCCCTGGGCAACACCACTGACCCTGGGCCGAACATTTCTGTATCTACTGGATGCTATTAATACTTCTATTTAGTGCTATTAAATACATTTCTGCTTCTGTTGAATACTATTGATTTACTTTCTATTAAGTAGCACTTAAGTAGTATTTCTGTTTCTACCAAATACTAAAGAAAATGTTTAAAGTATGTGTAAGGTGTAAGGTGTCATGATACAATGACCAGCGGACTTCCCACCTAATTTTAGAAAACAAGACTTCAGCATTATCACTGAAGCTTACTGTTGACCAAGGAGGCTTTAAGTTCCTTTCAGCTTGACTAAACTTCAGACAGCTTTCTTCCTGACTCTAGGCCTTTGACTTCTCTTTTCTTAGAGCACTTACATTAGAAAACTTGCAATTGTAAATTCTTACTCTGCCCTTTGAGAGGTAAACCTTTTACAGCCCAGGAGTGTTTTTCTTAAGGACCCGGGAGCTATCCCTTTGAAATGTTGTTATCAAGAAGGGAGGGCCCCAGTCTCTCAGTCTCTGTGGAAGGGTAAGGAGCCTAAATTCTGGAAGTGCCAATTAGGAAATGCAGATGGCCTAATCACATCGTCCCACCATCTTCCAGTACCTGTTCTCTGGCTCACTTCATGCTTGAAAACTTTCCAGTCTTTTGTGCCAATGGAGTCTAGTTCAATCTCTCCCCTACTGCAATAGTCTTAATCCATATTACAATCGTTTCAAAGAAAGTCTCTCTGCCATTTTTAATGAGTGTCTGGTGCAATTTTTCTTTTACGCTACGTGCTTCCGCCTGATTCCATCCACTTATTTCCTCCTGACTCAGATGAAACTGCTCTCCCAGATTTCAGGTTTATGGTTCCCTTGATATTCTTTATAGTTGACCACATTTTGTAGCCCTAACTCACTTAATAGTTTATTTTTGTTTTTGAACTTCATCTAAATGAAAATATGCTGTACGCTTCTCAAGAAATTACAAGAATAAACTTTACCACCTGCCAAAAAAAAAAAAAAAAAGAGCTGGATAAAGAAAATTACTACCAAACAATCATGTTTTTTGTAACTCTACAAACAAAGGAATGGGCCCAGAACCGGAAGAACTAAGAATATATATATTTTTAAAAACTTAGAGAATCCCTAATCCTCTGATTCTTTTTTAATGACACTTTCCTCAAGCATACATTATTCCTTGACATTGAATTTCCCCAGCATATGTATTCAGTAGTCCCCATTGGTAGATAACTGCAACTATTAAAGACAATCAAACTTTTCTTTAACTCCATATTTTAAAAGAAAAAATATAATGGCATATTAAGTACATTGACAATTCCCCTTTCTTTTAATTAAATTCCAAAACTTTCTTTCCCCATGCAACAATACAATATGCACAACGATTAAGAAACTCTAATTGCAATTCTAGTTTGTGATTTCACAGAGACCTAACTGTTACATCTTTGTTGATGACACAGAATAATTCAAATTAGAGAGGTCAAAAGAGGATTAAGAAAAGCTCCAAAGGATCAGCAGCACTTGGTAATTTAACTGGGCTATAGCAGCCGGAAAGCAACACAGACAGATACAACAACTAGACTAGAACTTGGAAGATGCTATTTTCCTGGCATACTCAAATGGGTTGGAAATTAGTTAAAGGTTATTCACTGAGTGTCTGTCCTCTGAAGATTTCCAACCAGAGAGTATGATATTAAGAAGACATTGATTCTAGGATGTAAAAATAATTTTAAACACTTAGAACATCTCCCTGTTCTTCTCCACCACAATCCTGCCAAACATAAAACAGTACTGGAAATATACCTTACAGGAGTATTTGCAGATAATTGGTCTTATGTTCATATTTGGTCACAGAAACAACTCCTCAACTTTTATCATCAGACAGTTAGATAGTTCTCACAGAGCTAAGCACTAAGACCCTATTCTACAAATTTATATGTGGTGGAATAAAATATAGTCATACATTCTCTGAGACTACCATCGAGTCAAGGTATTATATTCGCAGGTTTAAAATTGTAATTAAAAGATAGTATGGATGCTATGCTGATATTTATGGAAACCATCAATTCTAGGGTGGCAACAATATCTCCATTTACCCAACGTGTTTTCAGAATGTGTTTATATAGAGAAATTGTTGTATAGTTTCATTTCAGCAGCTATGTAACTTGTGTCTAGCTGTTCACAGCATTAAAAGTTTTATGCAACTCCTTCATTTCTCTAGAGTGTCCCAGATGGAAGTCAAACCTATATATTTTCTGCAAGTATAACAAAAGAGATTCACACCTATTGTTGGGGGCAATTAGCAAACTCGGCATAAGAAAAAAAATTCCATATTTTCTGCCACATAATGCCTCTAAGACTAATTAGAATATTCTTTATTATAGCTGCTTTTCTAGCTACTTGGTGAAATTTATCACTGACATTAAGCATAGAACTTTGGAGTTGTGCGTGTGTTTGTTTTGCTGAGCTCACTGTTACATGACTAGAATAATCAAAAAGGGAAATTTACGAATGCAGTAGATAGAATGGTGAAAACTCACTCAAATTAACATCTCCTAAGAGAGGTTAAAAGTGTGTTGCCCAAAAGGATATCCAGATTCTGGTAGGGCACAATCTTTTTCAATGGCTGCCTGAAAATAATGAAATTTTAATAATGAAAAATGGAAATTTTGTACAAAATATGATTGGGATTTTATTTGGAGACATATGAAAACAAAAACGTAATTTTCTCCCAATTGTCATACTATGATGATTTCTCTTCCCCCAAATCTGAAACTGAAGACTTGTGTTCCAGGAATAGGGGAACCGAGAGCCATCAGTTTCACGGCTTCATACTGTAGAATGATCTGGGGAGATGGTGTTGTTTCCAAATGCTTTCTGTTTGGAAGGCTTTGAGGTTGATGTGGTTAAACCTGACCTTGGGATGCACAGGAAGGACCCATGTGAACCTGGGTTGTGAAGTGAAGGCTAAGCCTGATTCTTTTTAGTACAAATTCAGTGTTCATTATAATACTCAGGTTGTGTCTCACTTTATTCTCCCTACACAGAATGCTTTAAATGGCTTTTCTACACTGAGAAGTATACAACATATGTATATATTTTGAGACGGGGTCTTGTTCTGTTACCCAGGCTGAAAGGCAGCGACACAATCATGGCTCACTGCAGCCTTGACCTCCCGGACTCAAGTGATCCTTCCACCTTGGTCACATTTTTGCTGTCCGGGGGTCATCAGTTTGATCTGAGACATTGGTTCAGAGAGCCTGGGTTAAACTGATTTTTCCCATATTCCTGAAATCAGCCAAGTCATCCAAATGTGTGGAACATGAGATCTACCAGGTGGCAACCTTGATTATTAGACCTCAGTTTTCTAAACAGACCCTGATCTCCTTTGGAGAGCATGAATTTGCTCTTGAGAGAAATCAGTTACTCTAGTCACCTTCTATGACTTTCCAGTGATTGCAAATGGGTGAAAGTTGTTTTTAGAGGGATATACTATTTTAGTGAAAGTAACCTTATGACACCGATTTCGTCTGTACAATTACATTTTTAAAGGTGTAAAAAAACTTTAGTTCAGGTGGGCACTCATTTTTGTGAGAATTTGGAGATTATTTCATATGTTAAGGTTAAGAGAATGTTTATGAGTATGAAGGAATGCTACATTTTTAAAATAGTGTGTGGCTCTACATGCCTCGATTTGATATCATCTATAGGTGTTATTGAGGTTGGGAGAGAATGGAAGGTGACTTCTGTAATTAACATAAAATAATCATTGTCATTTTACGATCATCAAAGTCAAGAGTTTCAGAAATTGAGAGGCCCAAGTTGAGTGTTTCAACCTCAGGAATAATTTTCAATTTATGTTTTATAACTGATATGAAGCAGTCAACTCTTTCACGAAAGGCTATGAAATCCTTTCTTTTTTTCATATATGACCATGTATAATCAAAATAAACCTCTTTACAAAATAAAATCATAGGATTATATCAGCGTTTCTCAAATTTGCTTGATGGTATGATTGTTAAAAGTACAGATTCTCTTGTGTCTGTTGAGATTCTGACCCAACAGGTTGGAGTGGAGACTAAAAATCTATATTTTCAACACATTCCCTGGTGATTGTTTTCATTTGACAAGTAGGAAAATGAGGGACCAGATGAATCCTATAAACTCTTCCAGTTGTAACATTCCATGAACCCATAATCACTGTCCATCCTGGATGTCTGCCTTAAGACAAATAAGAATTAAATCTTTTCCTGATTGGTAAACAGACTGTCAAAAACTTTAGGTGGGCTGAATTTGAGAGAAAGAAAATTAAGAAAAAATTCAGACAGCAGGAGAAGCCTAAAAGTGCTACATAGATTCTATTGGCTAAACTTTTCACTAAGTTATCATGACAACTGTCATATACACTTTAATGTGAAGAAAACTAGATATTAATCTGAATAGGCCTATGGAGAAAGGGATCTTTCAGAGAGAAGTACTTATTTAGGCTGTTTTGTAGACCACACACCCAATATTTTCATTAGTTCGTATAGTGGGTCTTGTTTAGATCTGAAATCTCTTGCTTTTCTCACACACAGTCGTGTGAAAACCCACAGAAAAAATTAGGGCTAGCATGATATCTGTTGGTCCAAAGTCCCTTAGGTCGGAAACTGCTCTATATTTTGCATCAAAGCCTCTGTTAGTATGTGAGAAAGCTCAGAAAAAAACAACAACAACAACAAAAAACAGTGACTGCTGCCTCTGCTCAGAGGGTGTGCTTTGACATTAATGGTACGAGAAAGGGTTGTGGCGGGTTTCAAATAGTTAGATGACAATTTGGTTTTGACAACATGAGGTTTTGGTAGACCTCAGGTACTGATTTGCAGTGTCATTATTTTCATACGAGAAATCTTGCTAGCCTGTAGCAAGAGGATTAGGGTTCTAACTTTTATTGGAATGCAGAAGTTTTAAACTTGAGTCTTGTAGAGTTTTCAAGCTGTATGAGGTGGGCGGGTATCTGGTTCAAACTCTGAATTTTAAAAACAAGAGATCCAAAGCCCAGAGAATGTAAATAATTTTTTCAAAGTGCAAAGCCTGCAGGAGGCAAATCAAGAATCTGACTTACTCTTTTTACTACAAATTCAGTGCTCATTATAATACTCAGGTTGTGTCTCACTTTATTCCCCCTACACAGAATGCTTTAAATGGCTTTTCTATAGTGAGAAGTATAAAACATATATATATTTTTGAGACGGGGTCTTGTTCTGTCACCCAGGCTGAAAGGCAGTGGCACAATCATGGCTCACCGCAGCCTTGACCCCCTGGACTCAAGTGACCCTTCCACCTCAGCCTCCTGAGTAGCTGTGACTATAGGCCTGCACCATCACACTAATTTAAAAAAAATTTTTTTTTTGTAGAGACGAGGCCTCACTATATTACTCAGGCTGGTCTTGAACACCTGAGCTCAAGCAATCTGCCTGCCTCGGCCTCCCAAAGTGCTGGGATTACAGGTGTGAGCCGCCACACCTGGCTAGTATTTTTTAAAGTACACTTTTTCTTTACTTTTGGGGGTAAGCTGTCATTTCCTGGAAGGCAGTGATGTAAATCTGCCTGCTTTGTCCTAAGGGACAAGGGTCCAACCTCTGCCCTTGCCTTACCTTTTCCTTTCAGGTCAAAAAGTCCTGCTATCCTGGACTGAAGCAAACAATACAGTGTGACAATTTTAAGAAGGAGATTGTCCCATACCGATATATTAGCAAGGCCTAAACACATTAGAATCGGTCATATAGCCACATATGCATCTTAATATATTATTTCCAAAAATACTTGTTTTCAAACATCTCTTTATGAAAAGGATCCTGCTGTTTTCTCTCATTATGGATAATTTTTTCATTCATTAGGCTTAAGATGAGATAAATGAATTTGGGGAGAGGTCACTCATGATCCAATTATAACCTGCAAGTTATTACAGAAAGAGTAAGTATTATGTTATTGCAAGTAAGTAAGTGTAAGAATGGTAACAGAGATTAAATAATCAAGAAAGAAAGGTTGAGAAGAGGGACCATAGATTGTTTTGAGTACTAAGGTAACAGGAAGTATTTGTATAGCAGCCTGATGGGTTAATCTTGCCTGCTGCTCAGAAAAGTCAATGCATTGAGTATAGCAGGTATTGCAGCAAAGAAAGAACTTAATTATTGCAGGGCCAGCCAAGAGAAGGATGAGAGATAGTAAAACTTGGAGGCTAGTGTTTTTCAAGGTAATTTGGTGGGTAGGGGGATGGGGAATGGGTGCTGCAGATTGACTGGGGATTAAATCATAGGAATGTCCAAAATGGTCTTTGTGCACTGAGTCAGTATCTGGATGAAGGTCACAGGACTGGTTGAGCCAGTTCCCTGGTATGAGTCTTGGGTTCAGGTGGCATCAGCTGGTCAAACCAAATGCAAAAGTCTGGAAAATACCTCAAAGCCCAATCTTAGGTTTTGACCATATGGATATTATCTAAAGGAGCAGTTGGAGAAGTTACAAATCTTGTACCTCTGGAACAATAGCTGGTTATTGTTTAACTATGCATATATCTTAGCAGAATTCAGGCCCCTCCCATAATCCTAATCTTATGTCCTTTCATTAGACTTACAAACATGGTTTCAGTCCCTAAGCAAGGAGGGGTTAGTTTCAGGAAGGGATGTATCATTTTTGTTTTAAAGCTAACAAAGTCAGCTAGCTTGTGAGGTTAGAAGCAAGATGGAGTCAGGTGAGATTCCTCTCACTGTTAGAATTTTTGCAAAGGCAATTTCATTTGCTTCCACCTCTGACTGCTTGTGAGACATGAAGTTCAGTCCTTGAAACTCAAAGAAAGGAGAAGGCAGGGGGCTTCTCTGGTGTGGCCCAGAGAAAAAGATGGCTGCCTGTGAAGGACTTCCTGTACTTTGATGGATATGAAGAATAATAACATCCCGTATGCAATTTGATGATTCTCACCTTTGCTAAAAACTTGTAACATGCTATAACAGAATTATATTAGTTGGGTTATAGTGTCTGTTTTGGGGGTCAAATAATGTAGAAGAAAGCTAAACATTAGCAGCATGGTAATAACATGTTGAATAGTGAGTGTAAAAGTTGGGTCCTTCCTGAACACTCCTGGAAGTCATTGATAATGTGAGGAACAAAGCTGGGTTTCCTAGAGTAAAGTATCATAGCGGACTGAAGCACTTTATTCAGATAGTAATAATGAGGGAAGCCCCCAAGGCTGAAACATTTGGAGACACTGTGTTTCCAGTATCATGCAGCTGCTTTCATAGCTAGAAGTGTGTGTACACCACACTTCGTTTTCTTTCACTGTGGCTAGGAGATAGGGAGGAGAACAATGGATGAACAAACATGCCTAGCGGGTATGGAGGCCACAATTTCCAAATTAACTGATTTATCCAGGAAGCTGAGCTCTAACTACTTGTGGTGTCTGGAATTTTTCATTCTGTATCTAGCCAGCTCTCCAAGGATTAATTCTCAGGATGTTATAAAGTTTTTTTTTTTTTTTTTTTTTTACACTTTAAAGGTTGATCTATATGGGTGATTCACAAGTGCAAGAAGTGTGTAGTAGACTATTTGTAAATTGTACTCCCAAGGATATAGCATAAAAAGGCAACACTGTCTACTTCTAGATGTTGTTATATAGTCAGGACAGTGTCAAGTGCAGGCCTCCTTTTATGTGAATTTGAAAGATCTTTCAGTTCTGTAACATGAAGTCTTATTAAGTTACTCTTATGGCCTTTCCCTTCTTCACCACAAATGCAATTTCAGCATCTAGAGAGTTTTGTATTTGGGAGGAAAATTCATAAAATCCCAGAAGGTAGAGTTACAGGACTTTCCAACTCAAAATGTAAATTATGAATGCTCATAAAAGGAGGACTTTCAGGGAGTTGGTATAAAAATTGATGTGTGGACTTTAAAGGAAGTCCCAGGGACAGCAAACAGCATCCAACTTCATCCAATGGCTTCATGTGCCACAAATCAGTAAGTTTAATCTCTGACCTGGCACCTCACAGAATCCACCAAGACATCTCACTCAAGAAGCTGGTGCAGCTGTGTGTGCATTTCACAGTGTGAAATGAAGCGTTTATTGCCTCATCTCCCCTGATCTTCAGCAGCCTGGGTGCATTGTCACCTACAGGGCTATTGGCATTTCTTTCCCAATTCAGGCAAACATCCTCCAACCAGACAAGAGGAAACACTCAGGGGAACAGAAATAAAAAGAAACATGGAGATTCATTATAACAAAACAACAGATGAATATTTAAACTAATTTAAGTATGACCAATGAGCTGCATAAACTGTATCATTAATCACTCCGGCACACATGAGCTTGCTTTCTGGGCTAAAAATTATGCCATTAAAATTCAGTGAAACTTAGTCACAGTGCATCTCTCTCTACTGAACACAGTTAGCTTTGATTATTCCCAGGCTTATAATGTATTTTGTGCATCGCTCAAGAGACATTTGTCTCCCCTTTTTGCTTTTGGGTAGGGAAACAATGGAGATATTGGAAACGGGTAATTTCAGAGGACCTATGGGAGCTGCGGTTTAATTCAGAATGACTTGTCTCAGCTTTCTAACATCTTTATAATTGTCATTATGGCAGTGCTGTGTGATAATGATGATGGCAGGGATGGGGATTGCTATGAGTGACACCCAAAGAAGTGACTGAGCACAGTAGTCTTAAGCTATTACTGCCGATGAGATATTTAACGGTGCTGTACAGGCAGTGTCACAGGGATGCACTTCAGGGGCGTCTGTTTTATATTCAGATTTCAAGCATGAAGACACTCTTTCTGATAATCGGGCTTCGAAAGGTCTGTTCTCATCGTTATTTTCCTAGCACTGATGATCGGGCAGACGGTGTGGCTACAAGAGAAACTGCAGACACAGGAAGGAGGTCCTGCCAGGGAGACGAGAGCATTAGACATCCATTCGCAGAGTCCAAAAAAAAACCAACCAAACAAACAAAAAAGCAAACTAAAACACTCCACGAACAGTAATAAGGGAAAAACAAAAACAAAAACAAAAAAACAGGCCACGCCAATGCAGCCCAGACCAAAACCACACAGGGCACACTGATGGAACCCGGGTACTCCCATAGCCATGGTCACTAAGACTATTACTTATTCCAGAGGCAGAAGCCACACTGGATATTCTTACAGATTCTTTTTCTTTTCTTTTCTTTTTTTTTTTTTTTTGAGACGGAGTCTCCCTCTGCTACCCAGGCTGGAGGGCAGTGGCACGATCTCGGCTCACTGCAACTTCCGCCTCCCGGGTTCAAGCAATTCTCCTGCCTCAGCCTCCTGAGTAGCTGGGACTACAGGTGCCTGCCGCCACGCTCGGCTAATTTTTCGTGTTTTTAGTAGAGACGGAGTTTCACCGCGTTTCCCGGGCTGGTCTCGAACTCCTGAGCTCAGGCAATCTGCCTGCCTAGCCTCCCATAGTGCTAGGATTACAGGCGTGAGCCACATTTTTTTTTTTAAACCCTCTTTTTGTCATCAAAAAGCCTTGATTTAAAGAACCCTAATGACAGGTTTACATATAATACTTGGATCAGGTTGGGGCAGAGGCTTTGGAAATGGGAAGGGAGGAGAGAGGCTGCAGGCCTAGAAAGAGAGTGTCCAGGGAGAGAGAGCAAGATAAGTCCCTATCAAAACCATCGTCGAGTGGCCACAGCCTTCTGTTCCTTTGGGTCCATCCTTTCCACCCACAGAGGAGACGGAGGCAGCGAAGTAGTGCCTCTTGTGACAACAAAACAAAAGGGAAAGGTGGAGCAGGTATACCGTGTCTGATGCCCTTCCCCACGCTCACCCGGCCTCCGCCACTGACTCGGTACAGCTTTGGAGCAATCCTCCAGGTTTTGGGGGAGAGGGTCCTGATCTCCCAGGTCTAAGTTTGGTGCCCTTCTCTGCGAGCCACCGGGTTCCTGCACTGTGAGCACATTCCTGCATTCCTGCCACCCTGTCTGCATTCTCTGTTCCAAGTCCTCTGAGAGCACAGAGTAGCTTTCCAGCTCACCGGGGACTGGATCCCCAGGGGCTAGCGCCGTCTCTCGCAGGTGGAGATGCCCAATGATAGTTGATCCATTGAATGAACACGAGGCCTTCCGTTCTCCCACAAGTCAGGTGTTTTCTCCACTCTGGCACCCTAGAAATGCTTCTCATCTTTTAGGATTCAGCGTTAGGGACATCTAGAAAGCTGTCCCCCGTGTCTCCCTATTTATGTAGACTGGCTATGGTCTACTTGGGCCACCCTGGGCTGACTTCCAGCATAGTGCAGCTCACATTTTATTTTACTTACCTGTTTACAAGACTGTGTCTTCCTTCTAAACCATAAGCCTCTTTTGGTAGGGAGTATGTCTTATTGTTCTTCCGTGTCCCTAATACGTGGCCGACAGTGGCACATAACAAGTGTTCAGGTGTGTTTAATAAATTTATTTGATATGAGGGAGAATAAGTCCAAAAACAAAACAAAAACAAAAAACCTCCACCAACAAAAAGGCATCCTACCTTGATTCTGAAACTGCTTGTCCAATCATATTGCCATTATTTTTCCTTTTGGCTTTATTATTAGAAATTCACTCAACAGTCTACAGAAGGTGAAAAAACAAAACAGGTGCTAATGAAAATATGATGTCTTCCTGCTTAACGTGGGCACAAGGTGGAGAAGAAGAAATGCAAGAAAGTATTCAGTAACCGATTCAATGATTGACGGTGTCAGCACAAAGTGGCAGGTGGCGCCTGTTCTGGGGAGTTGCTTAAGATTTACCACATTCTTGTTTTTGACCTTTTTAGCTTTTCTTTAATTACGGTAGCATTCAAGTCATGCTGGGCTCCTTTTTTATGCTCACCTCAGGAGACAAACACATTGTGTGTTACAACAAAGTAGTCGGAAGGAAGATAATTAAAGGTGTTTATTGTTAAAAAATAAAGGAAGATACAGTTGCTTTGGCTTAAGCCAGATTCTATGGTTTTAAGGCAGATCATAAATATATTGCAGGAAAAAATATCGTTTTACTGAAACTGTGGGGTAGACAATCATATAATTCACTCCTTCTTTATTCACTTAGTCCTCCCAATGTTAAAAAAAAGAATAAAATGGATTTAACTTGTGTATTTCTTGACCAAAATTAATACGAATTCTCAAAGATGATTTATCAGCAGAGTGAGAATATGATAGTAAAAGTTCAGTCATTTATCTTCACCAATCACAACTTGCACTTTATTTTGCCATATTATATATTTGAGGGGAAATATGCCTGCCTAGATCACATAGATATACTATACAGTAAACTTGAACATGTAGTTAATCGGAGACTAGTGATAAAAGTAAGATGAATTACCCTTGTTTTTCTTTGTTTCCAGTATAGAAGATAAAACTTTCTTTTCCTTGTTTTAGCATGCTAGTGCAGGTGAAGATTTAAAGAAGAATAAAAGTAGCCCCTGCCTCCAAAAGGTGTGTAATCCAGTATAGAAAACCAAGTGTACTGCTGATGATGAGGTATGCCTCAATTACATGGCAACTAAAGGTGAAGCAATATCCTTTGGCTTCTGGTTACTCAGAGAATTAAATAATACTCTGGCCAGGTGTGGTGGCTCATGTCTGTAATCCCAGCACTTTGGAAGGCCAAGGCTGATGGACCACTCCTGAGGTCAGGAGTTCAAAAACAGACTGACCAACATGGTGAAACCCTGTCTCTACTAAAAATACAGAAATTAGCTGGGCGTGGTGGCAGGCACCTGTAATCCCAGCTACTTGGGAGGCTGAGGGAGGAGAATCGTTCATCCAGGAGGTGGAGGTTGCAGTGAGCTGAGATCACGCCATTACACTCCAGCCTGAGTGACAAGAGTGAAACTCCATTCTCCTCACCCTCCCCTCACACCCCTCCCCCCAAAAAAAGAATACCCTGAGAATGGGCACGATGGCTCACACCTGTAACCCCAGCACTTTGGGAGGGCAAGGCAGGCGGATCACTTGAGGCCAGGAGTTCGAGACCAGCATGGGCAACATAGTGAAACACTGTCTCTACTAAAAATATAAAAAATAGCCAGGTATGGTGGCATGCACCTGTAAGTCCAGCTACTCAGGAGCCCGAGGCACAAGAATCTCTTGGACCTGGGGGGTGGTTGCATTGAGCCAAGATATCACAACTGCACTACAGCCTGGGTGACAGAGCTAGACTCTGTCTCAAAAAACAAAACAAAACAAAACACAAACACAAAACAACTCTGAATGAGGGAGATTACAACAAGGAACTGAAGAATCAATAAGATATTGGGAGGCAAGAAGCGAAAGCAGCATTCCACACCTGCACATAGGAAGGTTTCAGGCCTGTTGGAAGGACACTGGGTGGTCCAGGTCCTGGATCCCATAGGAGACAGAGAATTCCCAGACTGATGCTAGGAGGTCCCCTCTGAGGAACCTAGAAGATGAAGACCAGGAGTGATTTGGGACCACACTATGGGGGAATGTGAATGCCATGCTAAAGAAAATGCAGTGGGAATTCTTTGTAAAATGATTTTCACATCAGTGAGATCAACAGATGCATTGCTAGGTGTAAATCCAGCAGGTATTCAGGGCTGAACTCTATAGCTGACTGTACCAGGCTGTGGGAGAGGCAGGGAGGAGAGCCAAGATGGGGACAGAACTTGCCACCAAAATAATGCTGACAGTTTTACATAGTGATTTCACACAACTCTATGTTTGGAAGAAACCTTGGCTTCACTGGTCTTCAGATTTCTGGAAGCTCTGGATCAATTTAGAGGGAAATGGATATTATGACCTACTTCTTCCCACAATGTTTGAGTTCAGGAAAATGAACTTAACAAACAAAAAACCTTGTGAGAAGCACAGCCTGTGACATTGTTTGATGCTGTTTTGTGGTGAGAGTCAAACTCTGTTTGTGCCAAAAATGAGAGCATGGGACTCCTTCCCACGACAAAGGTCTGGGCTGGAAGCCATTGTGGAGGTGCTCCGGGATACCTGTATCCGGGAGTGACCCTTGATCCCGGTCACTTTTGCTACCGAGTAAAAGGATGCTTCAGTTTTCATCTCCCAACATACCCTGAATGTTCACTGTAGTTTCATCCATAACTTAAATCCCTCCAACATTCATGCCTTCTCCTTTTCCATTTTATTCCTTGTTTCATACACTTCTGGTTCATTGTGTGAGTTTTTCCCCTTAGCTGTTAGTACTTGGTTTTTGAAATATGTTTTTGAACATTCAACCAACAACATGCTTATATTTACCGCCATCCTTTAGAAATGAAATTTCTGCCCCCAGCACAGATAATCACCAGATTCGATCTTACAACCATAAATATTATAAATAAATAAACTGAAATTAAGAAATTATGGGAGCTTGACCATTACTATTATCAGCCCATATTTACAGAGTCCCCATAAACCACCTGGGATGAACACCTCAACAAATCAATAGTTAGCAGCAGTTTCAGTTAGGCCCTGAGTCCGTTAAATACCTACAGAGGTTAGATGTGAAATTGGTGTCAGAAATTGCAGGTACCAGTCGTGTTATTTTCCCCATTCTGATGAAAAACAGTTTCTAGGGAGCAGTAAGAGTTCCTGAGATAGTGTGAGAGAGTTCTTGGAATCTGTGTGCATCTGTGAATGCTTTTCCCTTTCTGCCTTTGTGGCGAGTTTTAACAGAAAGCGTTTTGTGTTTTAGAAAAACCTGCACAAGAAGATTAAAATGTCACTCGCTGCCTTTAACAAAGATAAAAACCAAAAGGCTTAAGCCATTACCATTTTGGGTAGCCGAACTTATTTTGGCCAGGCATATTCTTTCACCTGTTCTGAAGCAACGTTTTTCTCAAATACCATGTATATTCGCAAGAGGGTTAAAAAGGCTATTATTTACGTCATTCACTGGAATGTAATATACCACTATCAGTTTTTAAATTACTGTTACATAGATGGGCATTTCTTGTTAATCTCCATAGCGGAAGATCTTGACCATACGCTTTTCTGAGTAGTGTTGCAATGGTTTAATCTGAACTGGTTTAGATCCCAGTCAGACACTACTTACCAATTGGCTACTACTTAGATTCTAGTTCTAGTTTATATTCTAAAACTAGAACATATATACAGAATAGATTTTAGTCAAATTTCATAGTTTATAAACCAAGCTAAGATTTCATTTTAATTCACATTATTAGTATTCTTTTGGTCTTATATATTTAGTTACTATCAATTTTTAACATAAGCAGCCTTTTTGTATGCTAGATATAAAAATTTTAACAATTCCAAGTCTCATGTAAACACAAATAATTTTGTTCTCTCTCATATCTGCTTCACTTTGAAATGTTTACTAAAATGTAGTTTATCAGATGAACTGTGATAAGTTTCATAACTGCTGTTACCACAGTTCGTCTGATAAACAAAGAAGCTACATTTTAGTAAACATTTTGACAGATTTTGGAAAGGATTTAGGTGTTCAGGGAAAATGCCCATTTCCCTTTTGCATGTCTCAGTGACCAAGCTGAGCAACCATACGCAGATGAGAAGCTCAGGTGCTGAGATCCGGGCAGGACTGCTGCTGAGCTAATGCAGTTGGTGTAATTTATTCTGACCATCTATCAAGAAATCTTGTGTTTTGTGTCTAGCATCATTACAGTGCATAATATATGAATCAGGTTTGATGAAATATCCTTCCTGAATATTTCTCTTCAAATCCTGAATAAATAAGACTTGCTTTTTTTGAGATTTTTAGAGAGAGAGGGATGCTCTATCCATAGCATCTATTAGTCAAGAAAGCTGAACAATTTGACAGATCTGCAGAAGAAAGGGAAGGAATGCTATTCCAGAAATACCTTCCGTCTTAGAAATCTCCCATTAAAATGCTATAACTTAGGACCTAAGAGCATGAAAAAACCTCTGTGATTAGGGATATATACCTTCCTCCTTGACAACCAGAAATTTCCCTACTACCAATACACCGAAATGTTAGCTGGGTAGTATGATTATGGTAACTTCTTCCTTCTTTAAACTTCTCTGTATTTTCCAGCATTTTGACAATGAGCATGTGTAACTTTTGTAATCAGAAGAAGAAATTATCTTTAAGCAAGCAGTTTCTCTTGCGAAGCTCTGTGATTTTGCTGTCTTCTTTCACGTCTCCACCTCTGCCTCTCTTCAGTGTCTTCCCCCAGATAAGCTAGACATGCACAGTTTGATATGAACGCTGCTGAAGAGTGGTACTGTGCAGGAGCTGGTGTCACTGGAGCATCCAAGTGTCATGGGAGTGGAGACAGAGTGACAGCGGCCACAGTAGGAGAAGGCACATGTGGGAAGGCCATATCAAAGCTATCAGAATAGTTAACCCAACACAAGTCAGGCACCTGGGCTGGCATAGGTGGACAGAGGTATCACAATCAGCTCTACCGCCATGCAGAAGTCAGGAGTTTGCAGTGTAAACAGACTTCCCCAGGAGGGGATGGGCATGTCCACCCCGGTCCTCTACAAAGGACGTGGAGATTGGCAGGCAGGTGCAAGATGCTGGGTGTCTTCATTCAAAACTGGTGCCCGAATTGCCAGGGCATGTGCTTTAACATTTGGAGCCCAAAGGAAATAGAACTGTGCAGATCAACCACAGGACCTGTCAGTTTTCTCAGCTTCAAAATACTTTCTTGTAAATGTAGTTGTAAGGGAAAGCTTGGAATCAAATGCTAAGTACCCCTTTCATTAGACTCTGATTCCATGGATTTGGATAAAGGGAGTTGGTGAATTGGAAAGGATTAGAATTTGAATTCCTAAAATACTGAAAATATGTATCTTAATTCACCAGATCTACAAAATAGTGTTGAAATCTCTCACCTGGAAACTTTCATTTTAAAAGCTGCTGACTAATCTCTTTGTCTTCTGGATTGAAAAATCCTGAAACAAAAAATCAATTTTCTTACTGGCATTAAGGCAAAATGCATGCAGAAGGATCTGTCTCTGGCGTAACATGCCCTGTTGAGGATGAAAGTGGTTGGTGTGTGTTGGGACCTGGGGATTTTTAAGAGAAACTTGGAAATGGGGTTCTAATGTTTCCAGGTCAGTTAGCACACTGGATACAAATTAAGGGATGCTAAATAGTGTGGAGGTTCCAAATCATACTGTACATCTGGGCTGTGATCACTTGCACAGAACAGTAGCAGCAAAAATGCTCGTTCTCTGTGACACTGGGTCTCGCCGATGCCCGCCTTCCTGATTTGGGGACACAGGCGCTCCTCTGTGTCCTTGGATTTAGGAGCAGAGCCCACTGTGCGGCCTTCACTGCAGGAGAGTTGCTTCCTGTCTGTTGAGTTGAATGTGACACAAAAGGAACCTTAGGAAGAACTGGGGAGATCCAGCTCAGCTTGGAGGACATCAGCCCTTACACATCTGATTCACTAAAAATTCCATTAAAGCTCTTTAGCAGCAAAGAAGTAGGCTGCTATTTGCATCTTTTTTAAAAAAATACTATGTAATGTTCTGCAAATTAAAGGGGAAGATCATGGATTTCCTTCATGCTTATGGACAGGTATTTTCCATCAGATACATTGACAGCCATGGACAATGCTGTTACAAATAAAAGTGTTTACCCTCAGGAAAAACAAAAACAAAAAAACATGCTATGTGGGCTTATAAAAACTCAAAGGCTTGCTTGTGGGGCTCAACAATCATAAATAATAACAGATAATGCTTTCTCTTAACATCCTTCTCACAAGAACTTCACATAAAAATAAAACCTTCCCTAATTTTCTTTACTGAAGCCTTCTCTCTCAGCTGGGCTTCCTTCAATTGCTCTAGCAGGCACTAGACTGTGGTCTGCCCTAATTCCAGCAAGGCGCTGCAGTTGGCTGATGTTTTCTAGTTGGTTCCGCTGGATTGCTTGCTTTCCTTTAACCCAGAGCTTTTCTTTCTTTAATTATTATTGGCTTCTGTTGAGATCTCCAAGCTGTACTGAGTGGATTCTCAGTGATTCACTAATGGATTTCAAAACTGTTCATTCTTCGAGCTCTTTATATCAACAAGGGGCAGCTGGTGACTCATACTCCAGGTGGATTTGTGGGAAGTGACCACGCCTTTGTTTTGGTAATATTTGGGGAGTAACAGAGCTATCATTCTTGGCTAAAGCAGCCCATTATATCAGTAGAGTTTGAAGTATGGATTTAGGAAAATTGGCCAAAGTTATGGTAAATGGTGTTTAGGATCTCTGCCAGATTCTAGTAAATAATTCTATAATAAACAATGATAGTATTGCATTCATCAAATGCCCCTTCTCCAGGTGTCTGTGTGAAGTTTTGTTACGGCTGCTGTTTATTGGAAATAAAACTGTATTCCATTTCAAAGCGGTAAAAAGCCCATTGCAAGACCAAGTCAAAGAGAGGTGGTTTTTTTTTTTTTTTTTATGTTTACTTGCTTAAGTTTCTTTTAAAAAATCATGTTCAAGTATCAAGTTTAAAGTCAAATAATACTGGGTGGTCGCCAGCTGGTGAGTGGGTTCTGTTCCAGATTTTCGTTTGTCAACTCGATGTTTGTAATTCAGAGCTCGGTTTCCCATAAATGCTATAGTGAGTGACTTCCAAATGAGGACTCCAATATCTTTAACACCAACTGAAAGAAAATGAAATGATTTGTGTGGAGAACTCAACATTGGAATCATTTGGGAATGCTGCATTATTACATATATTTCTGAGTATTATCATATCTATGGCTCAAAAACCCAACCATGGTTAATTTCCTTGTACCAAATTATATCAGCTAACTCTACCTTGTTTCCGTGATCACAGTCCTCCATTTCAGAGCAATTTAAATTTTGCTCAACTGCCACCAAGAAATTCCACAGAGGGCCATATTACTCATGCTGTTACTTAACTTTATGACAAACAATACCATCAAACTTATTTGCTGTCCACATCAGGCACACTTGTGTACGTAATCAATAGCAAGTCCTACATTTTCCTTTGTTGCAGGGTGTGTAAGTCATGGATACAAATTGATTAGGCTAAGGTGATCAGGGGAATTCTATTCCTCACACCAATAATTGATTTTCCTGGGGTTGGCATATGATTCAGTAATTCAATTTTGGCCAATAATACACAAGAGGAAGTCCACTTAGAAATTTTTAAGAAAGTGTTGTATTTTTTCTTCTTCAAACAGAGAGATCATAAAATAATAAACTCTTTTCTTCTGCTGGGTATTATGTCTCTGTCTCCAGGTGATGCCTGGGACTGTGGTAGCCATTCTGGAAGAATGAGGTTTTAAGGAATATGATGTGAGCACAAGATTTTTTGGCTTCCTTCAAATAAAATGACAGTTAATACCTCTGTCTACTTAAGTTCTTGCGCTGTGGATATATTGGGCATTCACCGTTGACAGCACATAATCTGCTTACTTAGAGGTTTAGTGATATTTTAGTTCTACTATTTATTCTGCATGGAAGAAAGTCCTTGAAACCAACACACTGGAACAATACCTTCTTACCTTGAATAAGGTCAGTTTGAGAATGAGTTTCTATTGTCAGCATGTTGGTGTGGGGGTGGAGAAAAAGGAAAGTACATTTAATAAGCTTCTCCTGAACCACATCTTTTCCTCATAATTTCAGCACTGTGAACACCCCCAGATGATCAACTCCTTGTTCATTTAACTGGGGTTAATAATTGTCACTCACGTACAATTACAGAAAAGCAAATTTAAACTAACAGTTTACAAAAGGGAGGCTGAATGGTATAATTTGAAAGCTAGAAAATTAAAATTTCTCTCACCCTTAACCAGCAGCTCCACCTCCACCAACATTTCCTACAGATATACTCTACATAGCCACACAATACATGCCAGGGTATTAGTGTAGTATTATTTGTTGTAGCAAAAGAGTCAAAAGTAACATTACTTTTAGCTTTGGAAGTTAGCTATCGGGAACTTGGAATTTATGGAAGAAAAATAAAAGCTTAATTAATTCTTGATAATTAAATGAGAGTGAGGAGTGTGAATGTTTTACACTTTTATTATGCGTGTGACACATTTTACTAGGCAACTCTGAATTTACTTATGAGGTTTCATTTTGTTTTTATTCAGAAAATAGTCTTCAACTCTTAAAAAACAATTTTTTTATTGTGGTAAAAACACTTAACATGAGATCTACCCTCTTAACAAATTTTGAAGAGCACCATACAGTATTGTTACCTACAGGCACAAGGTGGATCAGCAGATCCCTAGAACTTATGCCTGTTGCATAACTGAAATTTCACAGTGGTTGGACAGCAATGTTCCATTTCTCCATCTCCCCAGGCCCTGGCCAGCACCATTCTACTTTCTATCCTGGTATTATGACAGACTAGGGGTTCTGAAAATCTCTAAAATAATTCCCACAAATGCTGCATAAAAATTAACAAGTGTCTTTTTTAAGGTATAGCTGGGGACTCGAAAGAGCAAGATAAATCCCAATGGTAGAAAAAGAAGGGGAAGGGTTGGGTATGATGGCTCATGCCAGTGTAATCCCGACACTTTGGGAGACTGAGGGGGGAAGATCACTTGAGGCCAGGAGTTTGAGGCCAGCCTGGGCAACAAAGCAACATCCCCTCTTAAACAAAGAAATAAACAAAAAGGCAAAAACCAAAAAAATGGGGAAGAACATCAGAGTGGTGAGCTGGCCCTTAACTGGGGACATTCCTTTATCTTGGAAAGCGAGAGGATTGAATTGCACAGCATTCCAGGGACAGGAAAGTGCCCTGGGCTCCCCTGTGGTGGGAATCTAGAGGATGCACAGGGCTGAGGCCCCTGAAGGCTACATCTTCAATGATAGGATGTTCTAGGAAACACAGCTGACTACTGGCCATAGGAAATGTCTGTCATCTGTCTTGGCCAGAATACTGAATAAGGAAGAGCTATTCTCCTGAGAGTTCATAACCACAGGCCTGCCCTCACAGAGGTCTACAGTTTGAGTATACACTACTTGAGAGTCCAAGAAAAGCCAAGCCAATAAATGAACATAAACCCAACCTAGATTATGTATCAAAGCACGTGTATAAGCAAATCCAAATCCTGTTGAGACAGAGCAACATCAACCTAAGACAAAATGAGTCTCACACATTGCAAGGTGCAAGGGATAAGCAGAAAGATAACAAAAATACCAAAACAGATGAGGAAATAAGCCACTGTGAAAAAGTGCCAGAAAAACCCTCTAAACCCTCAAGGTAATGTAATAATTATAAAAAAGATACAAAACAAATATACTTAAGACACTTGTAAGACAGACCAAAAGAAATGAAAACCGTGAGAAAATAATAAAATACTCTCTAGAGAGTGGGCAGGTTTAAAATGTACCAAAAGGAAATTCTAGAATAATGATGTATAATCAGCAATAGCCCAAACTGAAAACAGGATACACAAATACTGATATATTTATATGATGGGATACTCTACAGTGATAAAAATAAATGGACATAACTACACACAAAAACTTGAATATCAGAAACATAACGTTGACTGAAAGAGGTCAGACACAAAGAATTCACACTATATGATTATATATATACATATAATTTCAAAAAACAGAAGCTATTGACTTTTACATTGTAAATGGATGAATTATATGTAATGTGAATTCTGTCTCACATTATCAAAAAATTACATTTCTATCTATCAGCAATCATTAGAAAAAGTAATTTATTAAAAGATACTATTTGCAGTAGCAAAATTTGCATGAATTTTAGTTAGAAATTTTAAGAACTTTATTAAAAATCAACACTGTAGACTAAACTCTATCAGAAACCAAGTTCTATTATGAAGATGTATCACTAGCACAGTATGAAATTTGTGCAGCATTGACAATGTGAACAAAGGAAAAAAATATAGAGCCCAAAAGAGACCCTTGCATGTATAAAAACTTGATGGATGTTGACAGTAGGGGAGACTGTGCATATGTGGGGGCAGAGGGTGAATGTGAAATCTCTGTACTTTCTATTCAGTTTTGCTGTGAACCTAAATTGACTCTAAAAAATAAAGTCTAATAAAAAAAAAAAAACCTTGATGTATGACAGAGGTGGCTTTACAGTTCAGTGGAGAAAGAATTTTTCCCATGTTTGATGATGGAAAATTTGGTTGTATATGTGTCAAAAATAAGAAACTGAACCCTTAGATTATACCATTAAAAAAATTGAGTTCCATGTATTTTAATGACCCAAACATAGAAAACGGTTAAAACTTTTAAAAGAAAAAAGACATCATAAAAGAAAAAAGGCATGAAGCACAAAAGATAATATTTTTATGACATAAGACACAAAACATAAACCAAAAAGGAAAATGGATGAATTCTACTATATTCAAATTAAAACTTCTGCACATCAAAATATATCATAATTCAAATAAAAAGACAAGACAAAGATTAGGAGATGACAGCTGCAGTATATACAAATTATAAACATTAATATTTGGTTTATGTAAATAATATATATTAATATAATTATCAAAAGATACAGATAACTCATATTTGAGGAAACTTGAAAATATGCTCAGTCTCACCCTTAATCAAGAAAACCCAAATTAAATTAGTTTAGCCTCATTCATTTATGTGATCAGATTGGTAAAATGGAATTTGCCAATACTAACTGTTATGGAGCAAGTTGAGTCAAAATAAAATTAAAACTTACTTGAAAGTGTAAATTGGGAAAACAATTTGGAAATATCTAATAAGGTTTAAAACTGAATAACTCCACACCTAGATATAGTTACCTTAGAGAAATTCTTGCACATGACTACATGGAAGCAATAAATTAATTCTCAGAGGAGTCATATTTGCAAAAATAAAAAACTGAAAGCAATATATATTTTCAATAAAGAATACATAAATAACTTGAAGTGTAGTATAGTCATGTGAATGGAATATCATAAAACAGAAAAAGAAATAAACGGTGACTGCATACATTAATAAGAATAATCAGAAACATTGTTTGAATGTAAATAGCAAGTTCATAAAAGGATAAATATTATATGATGGCATTTATTTAAAGTTTGAAAATATGCAAAACATACAGAGCACACACATACACATACACACACAAAGAGGCAGTCCTTGCTTTGCACACACTTTAATATGCATAAATTTCAGTTACTATAGTATAGGTAAATATACCAGTCTCCCAACATGGTTCAAATTTTAGTTACTGTGCTATACTAAGTTTGAGTAATTGCATAATATACAAATTTAATTATGCATATGTATAGTGTTCAAGTTTTGTTACTAGCTCTCCTGTCCAAAAACACTACAGATGAACCCTGACTTATGACAGTTTGCCTTAAAATTGTTGTACTTTAGGAAGGTGCAAAAGCCATATGCATTCAGTAGACGCTGTACTTTGAGTACCTGTACAACCATTTTGTTTTTCACTTTCAGTGCAGTATTCTATAAATCACATGAGATATTCAATATTTTATTACAAAATAGGCTTTGTGTTAGGTGATTTGGTCCAACTCTAGGCTACTGTAAGTGTTCTTAGCATGTTTAAGGTAGGCTAGGTTAAGCTATCATGTTTGGTAGGTTAGGTGTATTAAACGAATTTTCAACTTTTGATATATTTTCAACTATGTGTTTTCTATGGATTTATTGGGACATAACCTCATTGTGCATTCAGAAGTATCTATACAGAAATAACAGATGTGCATCATGATCAGTGACCAACCATGTCACTTCTTTCAAAATCTATTAAGGGTTTGTTACTCCACATAATGTTATTCTTTCCACACACAGCAAAGCATGTGGTTATGTTGCCTCCTTGTTTCCCAGTGATAAGCCCATATAACACTTTACAAAACTGGACACGAGAAGGGAGAATTGGCTAACTAAGATAAAAGTGCATCAAGAAACAGAGAGTGATGATGCTGAAAGTGAAATGTGAAATGAATGTAAATGGAGTTATAGAAGCAATAGCTGAATGTGTCATTGTTTCAGAGACTCCAGATTTGTAGCCAGAGGAACTCAGGTTAAATGAATTGAACTACACAAATAAGGAAGGTGGTTGTGACCCCAAAAAGGATGAAGCTGTCTCACAGGAAGTGACACTGGCATAACATTTCGCATTAAAGGAACTCTCAATGATTTTTCATGACATTGAAAGTGGAAAGGATAAGATCTTGGAAGCCGATCTAAACATGGAAAGAAGTATGTCAATAGAAACAATTTCTTGATCCATATTGTAAGCTGTACAATGAGAAGAGGAAAGGAAGCAGGTTCTAATTACTCTTGACAGATTTTTAATCAAAGAAAACACTTTAATCTCAATGCTTCAAATGTTTTTTGCTTGTTTGTTTGTTTGTTTGAGATGGAGTCTTGCTCTGTCACCCAGGCTGGAGTGTAGTGGCGTGATCTCCACTCACTGCAACCTCTGCCTCCCAGGTTCAAGCAATTCTCCTGCCTCAGCTTCCCGAGTAGCTGGGATTACAGGCAACCGCCACCATGCCCAGCTAATTTTTTTTTTTTTTTGTATTTTTAGTAGACATAGGGTTTCATCATTTTGGCCAGGCTGGTCTTGAACTCCTGACCTCGTGATCTACCCACCTCGGCCTCCCAAAGTGCTGAGACTACAGGCATGAGCCACTGTGCCCGGCCTCCTCCTACTATTTTTAAGGATCCATGTGATTAGATTCTACCTACCCAGCGAATTGCAGGAAAATCTCCGCATTTATAGATCCTTAATTTAGTCATAAGTGCTAAATCCCCTTTGCCATGTAAGGTCGCATATTCACAGGTTCTGAAGATTAGGATGTGGACATCTTTGGTGGCGGACATTATTCTGCCTCTCACAGATACCTTTTTAGGCCAGGAGCCATAGAAGAGTTGAAGTTCCTTGCATAAGACCTAGACATTTTATTGTGTCATATATTTAATGAGTATGGAATGCAAGTAAATCCAGGGTTGAAAAATACTCTTACACACTTCATTTGGAGTTTTGAGTAATGATACAAGGGAAGCTAGAATCATACCCTAAAACAAAATACTTAGAGCAGTATAATCACTATTGACACATTCCTACCACCAGTGTAATAAACCATACAGCACAAGCTCAATCAAGTACCCTAGTCAGTTCTTATGGTACTTAGTCTACGTTTGGGAATCAATGAATTTTTAGTGATTCCAAAGCCAGCCTCAAACCTATGTTCCCAGAGATTTGGTGAAAGATTTCATTTTCACATTTCAATATTATTTTCAGCCAGAAGTATGCATAAATCTGTAGTGTCAGGGCTTTAGATGCAGTGTAGCTTATAAGACAGATTATTTCTATATTGTCAACATAAAAGACTGCTTACAGTGGAGAATAGCTTACTTCCTACATAAGCAGCACAAATTATTTATCTGAACTTTAAAGAATGTAATATTTCTACTCTGGTAGACTATTAAGGCAATTGAAGTAATCCCCCAAGTACAACGAAGTCCTACATTTTCTGAATTTGCTCTGTTTTGTTGATAGCATGTAGATGTCTTCTGAAATATGTTTA
The DNA here is from genome assembly GCF_000001405.40 of Homo sapiens. Taxonomy (NCBI): domain Eukaryota; kingdom Metazoa; phylum Chordata; class Mammalia; order Primates; family Hominidae; genus Homo; species Homo sapiens. The sequence goes on along the minus strand of NC_000007.14, from coordinate 148,007,194 downwards.
CTTGATAAAAGACAAGGCACAATTTTCCATCAATAAACTCATAAGACAAAGAGATGCAATAATGAAATGCGTAAAGCACATGTACTGCATGTGGCTGGTGCCATCAATGTGGAAGAGCTGCTGAATTGTTTGGCTCTTAGGCTTTTCCAAGTCAGTTAAGAACTGCTCTCTGAAATGACCCTTGTATTTATATAAGGCCAATCAGAGGCACAGATGATTCTTCATAAACATGTAAGTCAAAGATGTAATAGTCTAAGAAAGATTTGCTAGAATGTTCTATATATTCCCATGAAGTGCAATGAAGCTTAGCCTCAACCTGAAGATACAAATTACTGTGAATATCTCACTTGAAAATTGAGTGAAATTATTTGAATTGCCCACTTTCATGAAAGAACGGAATATGATTTAGAGATTTCTTCCATAAATTCTTTTTCTTTTTCCTCTGAGCACATGCTAAAACAAACGAACTAAAGAAAAAAAAAAGAAAATTATTATCATGAGCCCCTCAGAGTCAAGTCTGTAAGCCTAACTCAGTTTTTTTTTTTTTTTTGTCTGGGATATAAAAGTTACTATTATGGCCGGGCACGGTGGCTTATGCCTGTAATCCCAGCACTTTGGAAGGCCGAGGCAGGCAGATCACTTGAGGTCAGGAGTTTGAGACCAGCCTGGCCAACATGGTGAAATCCTGTCTCCACTAAAAATACAAAAATAGCCAGGCGTGGTGGCGCATGCTTGTAATCCCAACTACTCAGGAGGCTGAGGCAGGAGAATCACTTGAACCTGGGAGGCAGAGGTTGCAGTGAGCAGAGATTGTACCACTGTACTCCATCCAGGGCAACAGAGCAAGACTCTGTTTCAAAAAAAAAAAAAAAAAAAAAGAACTTCCTATAAAGCTTATTGGCATAAAGTATAGGCTACTAGGCTATTTCTCACAGAGTATTGTTTTTTCTTTCATATTCTCTATTTCGCTACACCAATATCCCTGCTTTCAGAAGTTGGCACTGTTGCCCCTGTACCTGGGTCTGATCCTGTTTTTTTATTAGCCTTTGGGCTCATAGAGTATGACTTAGATACAATGGATATATGGAGATTTGTTAGTAATGGGTTCATCTTTTTGTGTTCTATATTGTGTCCATTTTTTTTCTAAGATCACGACTATGTGTAGGATTTTATAAAGTGATACAGACTTGAAATCAGTGCTGTCTGGAAGGGTCATAGACCCTCGTGAGACTCTATTGAAAGCAGGGACTGTGAATCCCAGGAAAAGAAACCTTACAGGATTACACCTAAGTACCATGGCTCACATTAAACCATCTTAGAGAATATTGGCAACTGAATCAAAACAAAGGTCTCTTCAGTAACAAAGCAATAATACTTCCAAATCGTGCTGGACCACTGAAGCAGCAAAACATGCACTCATTGGAAAATGAGGACCCTCAGTAGCTGACTGGCTGTTTTGGGCCAATTTATGATAAAGTCCTCATGGATCATATATTTCTAAAATAAGATTGAGCTTTTGGAGGGAAGACATTTGTATGATGCTGTTTCACCTTTAGCCCCAATTTTCCAGTTTATGACATCTGCACATTCCTCTTGGTGCCACTCAGCATTCAAGTGCCCTTCTCCACCTCCCCTTCCTTGACTGGATGCAGGGCCGGTGAGCAGACCCCACAGCAGGGCTTTGGGAAGAGATAACAGTGGCGATTGTTTACCCTGTATGAGATGCTACATTATGTGACACATAGAGCCCATGATGTCTGCACAGCACCCCTTATCTTCCACTGCTATGAACTGAATGTCTGTGTCCCCCACAAATTCCTATGCTAAAACCCTAATCACCAATGTAATGGCATGAGAAGGGGGGCCTTTGGGGATTATTAGGTCTTTAGGATGGAGCCCTCATGAGTGGGATTAATGCCCTTATAAAAAGGGGCCCTAACGAGCTCTCTGGTTCTTCCCACTTGGGAGGATATAAGGAGAAGTTGGCAGACTGCTACCGAGACGAGTGCCCTCACCAGAGCCTGACCTTGTTGCCAGCCTGGGCTCAGGCTTCTGGTCTCCAGACCTGGGAGATACAAATTTCAGTTGTTTATAAGCCACCCAGTCTATGGTATGTTAGAGCATCCCAATATGACAAAGACAGCAAGTGACCTGCAAAGTCTGTAACTGTGAATATGGGGATAGTACATAAGAAAGAACAAAACTCAATCCATTTAGGATCAGGATGAGAGTAGAATTCAGCACCTTGATTTACTTTGCAACTCCCCCATGCTTGCCTCATAAGCTAACTGGATTAACTCAGGAAGAGGAGATAGATGCTTGATTATTGAACATTCTTTCCTGGAACAGGTTGTCAGGTACTCCACCTTTCTTCCTGTCTGAAACACTGAGAAAAACTCGAGTTCTATTTAAAAATCTAACCAAACTATAATAATGAGGTTAAGAGGTTAGAACATAAAACATTTCTGTAATGAAAGATGAAGCATTTTCATTACATATTAAAGAACAGGGCTGAAGAAAGAAGCTTTCTTTGTTTATAATGTTTTAAATAGGTACTCCACTGGGTCATTTGTTGTCTTATGAGAACTTACTGGAAAAGGTTCCACATGAAAAAATGAGAAAAAATAATTAATGTAGGAGACTAAGGAACTTGTATGTAAATGAACAAAGCTTCTCATATTTCATAAAGATATTCATATTCATTGAAAACTTTGCACAATGCCTGCCAGAATGAATGTATTATTAGCTGTGTTCACATAATTGAGCTTTTCTTATTAATATTTTTAAGACTTAAAAGGCTATTTTAATTCTGTCATAAATCTAAGAAAAATTTATGTAGTAATAATTCAAATTTACACCTATATGATTTATGTAAAGCAGTCAATTGAGAAATACTTTTTTAAAAAATAGAAGGCTTAATCACATACTAGAAACTGTGTTCTAGGGTTGGCATAATTCTGAAAGAATTTGAGATATTGGAATATTTTCTTTATCATGGTTTAAAACATGCCTATATTAAGCTGATAGCATACACATTACATGCAGAAAGATTTTGTATACTTATTACAACTAAGAAAAATTGATTTATTAGCTATATAACTTCATTTCATTGGCTTTACTTCTAATTTCCTCTTGCAATGATTTAAATATTTGATGTAACCTCTTATTGAATGAACTTTTGTAAGTTAACATAAATCCTTTCTCAAATCAATTAATAAATCACTTAGAGTTGTAATAGATATTTTTGTTATCTTCATTCAAGAAATATACATATTATAATCCTGATTAAGCACAATATTTATGCTAGGCACTGGCCTAGGCATTGGGAATACAGAGATAAATAAGAAGTAGCTTCTGCTGCCAAGAGGCTAATTGTCTATTTATCTTAATTAGTGAAACCCCTAAGAATGAAATTTATTTCTAAGGAAACTAATCAAACAAGAGGATAAATCTTTATCTAAACTTAACAAATTGTGAAGTTTTTTGAAGGAGAGTGGTTAGCCATACAAAATAATTTCTTTTATACCAGGTTTCTACATATGCTTATCTAATAGGATTGATAATTGGAACAATCCTAGGGAAAGATAGAATGTCTTTTCAATTTGTCTTTTTCCCCAGTCTTGACCTCTGGTGCCCTCTCCGATTCTCAATGGTAACCCCTTCTCCAACCTTGGCTCCTCAATACTTCTCATTCACGGAATCAGAGAGGAAGTATGCTTGCTCTTGTACTTTTGTGATTAAATTTAGGGTGAATAAATTTCAGTCAATATTTAGCAAATTTTTTTTCCTCTAATGTTAAAATGAAAGGTTAGGTTAGGGAGATTTTAGGTTAGAGAGATTTTAAGCATTAGCAAACAGGAAGTATTAGGGGCTGGGAGAAGTACCTTGGAAGCATATCTATCCCACTGCAAAGTCTTTCCCTAGTAATTCTGATCTCATCCCTTCAGGTGACTGGGATAAGAAATGGTTAGCAGGACTGTGTGTTTTATCCTGAATTCCTCCAATCTAGGGCCCACTGCTTCCTTGGGAAGGACACATAGAGGTTGATGCTCCTTGAGAACTCTTCCTAGGAGCTACTAAGCATGTGCATCTTCCTCACTAGTTCTTTCCATATCATAGAACCTGCACTGTCAGCACAAGGCTTTTCTAATCGCCTTCTCTGTAGGCCCACTGACTGCTCCCCGTGCTGATCAAAATACCCATTTCATCTTTCTTCCCCAGGTCACATATCTGAACACAAATGGCCTTTTTGTGTTCAACTGTAAACAAATTTATGAACTTAAATGTTTATGTACTTACACAGTAGCCATTCCTAATTTTTAAAATTAAATAACAAGTGTACCGGTAACAGTATTACTTGAGCTCCCTCCATGTCTAAACCATCATGCTAGGCTCTGTGGCAGATACAGAGATGAATCAGATCCACTCCTGGTCCCCAAAACACTTGCCCACCAGTGAATGAGCTTAGGTCGTACAAAGAAACCATGGTGGTTGACTGTGAGAATTTAAAGATCCTAACCTAAAATAATGTATTTTCTTACATTATTTTTTCCTCCAAAAAAATCAAGGTTTTGGGCAAAATTAAATGTGTCATCTAAATGAATTTTACAGGCTAACTAGAGTATTTTTTAAGAGAAATAATTAATTAGCATTATAAATGGATAAGAAATGTTGGTTCCCAAATCTGGCATTCTTGGCATGGGGACTACATATAGCCTTCAGAGGGTTTCAAATCTCTTTAAAATTATATGAAAAATGTTGTGTTTATATAAAAGTGCGCATTTTTTTTCTAGCAATGAGGGTCATAGATAAGGAAATTCTTAAGAAAAGGTAAAGAGCCATTGAAATGCTGGTTCTAAATATATATTCAGTCTATCAAAGCTTTATGAAGTTCCTGATGAACATTTTGCTGTCATTTTGAAAAAGCGTATGCTTATCATCTTCCTACCATGAAAATACACGTGGCTGGAGGGTGGATGGGAGAAATGAAGGAGAAAACATAGTTAAACCATCAAACTCTAAGTATCTTGTAGAAATTGGGAGATGTTCTGCTTTTCTCATAATAATTAACTATACATGCAACTAATTATGGTGCAGAAAGATAGCAGCATCAAGCCATGGAGAGAAAATTTGTGAACTTAATGATCTTTTTTAGTAGCAAAATAATTTTTTCAGGAATAAGCTTTATGGGCATAAAATGACTTATGTTTAATAAAAAATGTACAGACATAGAAGATATCATCCATTTGGAAAACCATAAAATATAAGGTGAGCATGAATTGATGAATAATTAAGCTTATTTCTGAATACAAGTTAATAGATGAAGCTTATTTAACAGCTAAACCATTAAAAAGTACCAACCTGAAAAAAATAGACCAGAAAATTTTACAGAAATATTTTTGTAACTCTTTTATATGCTCCAATAAAAATACTTTATTTGAAACATTTTTCTCACCAGTACCTAGCTAGATGGCTTCATAGACACATTGGTTATCAAAAGAAGAAAATCATCCTCATTAAGATGCACATTAATGTATAGCTTTTCTACTATCCAAATATACATAACTCTCAATTTATGCTCATGTATAAAGCATCTTGAGCAAGAAGAGTCCTAATTCTTTTATGTAATGTCATTCTGTGATTGACAACTCCAATGATTGCTTTTGTGACATTAACCACCAAGTCGTCCTATACTTTGAAACACATTGTTCACAAGATACTAGAAAAAAAATTGAGTAACAGTGAAAGTGCTATCTGCAATAACAACAATGTGATGGGACCTTCCAGGTGGGCTGCTGAGAACTCTGCTAGGTGAGTCACTGCCACCAAATCTGTTCGACGCAGTGTAGAGCCATGTTATCCGCAAAGAGCTGTGCTGAGAGCCAGGCTGAAGGCTAGGACCCAGGAGACACAGTTGTGGGGCTCCAAGAGCTGAGAAGCTTTCCAGTAGATCCTGTTCTCTTTTGAACTAGGTAGATGTTTCTTGGCCATTGTAGCAGGTTGAATATCATTCCCCATTCCCAAATTCATGTCCACCCAGAACCTCAGAGTGTGACCTAATTTGGAAACTGGGTATTTGCAGATGTAATTAAGCTAAGGATCACTTGAGATCACACTAAATTAGCGTGGGTCCTAAATCCAATGAGACTTTCCTGACATGAGACAGAAAGGACACTTGAACACACAATGAAATCCTTGTGGAGACAGGCAGAGTTGGGAGTTTTGCTGCCATAAGCCAAGGGCTGCCGTGAGCCCCCAGAATCTGGAAAAGTCAAGAAGGGGATCCTCCCCCAGATCCTTCAGAGGGATGTGGCCCTGCTGATGCTTGACTTTGAACTTCTGGCTCCAGAACTGTTGAGAGAAGTCGCTCTAGTTTAAGCCACCAAGTTTGTGGTAATTTGCTAAGGCAGACCTAGAAAACCAAACTAGCCATTATCTTTTCCTCATGTTTGTAAGTCCTCAGCCCGTAATGGCACTGAGGAATCTAGTCTGCTAGAATTCAGCCAGGGAATCTTTCTCTTGTTATACAAAAGAACTAGTTTTTGTTGGGGTCTGGTGCAGCCTTGCTAAACTGTAAAGGCTGAAAGTATGGGCTTTGGAGCCAATTTGCCTGGGTTAGATTCCAGCTCTGTCATTCACTGTGTCACTTGGAGCAAATTACTGAATCTCTATCATGGTTTTCACGTCTGTAAAATAAGGGTAATAATATGACCTTCATGGACTATATACTTGCGAGGATTAAATGAGTTGATTTGTGAAGTGCTTAACTAGATCTGACACATGGTAGATACGCAACAGATGTTATCTGCAATCATTATCATACAATTATTATTATGTGATCATAGCTGTCAACATCATCCCGGGGTCCTAAACACAAAGGCTTCTTCCCCTCTGGAGGGCAGGCATAGGTAGCCATGCCCATCATACAGAGGAGCACCAGGAATGGAGCTTGCTTCTCCTACAGAGAGGAGAACCCTTTCTCTCTCAAGACACTGCTCTGCAGGGGAGCGGTGGGTGTCCTCACTGACTCCGCATCAGACTGAAGTACCTTCCCTTTATCCTTTCAACAACTGCTAATGGTCCTTTAACCATAACAAACACAGCCCAATCCTCTTGGAGTTGAAAAGACCACTTGAATTGCGCCTCCACATTCTTTGATTAGGAAGTCACTGTATTAGGCTCCTCAGGCTACTTTAACAAAGTACCAAAAACTGGGTGGCTCAAATCAACAGAAATTTATTCTCCCACAGTACTGGGGGTAGAAATCCACAGTCCAAGTTGGCAGGGCTCATTTCTTCTGCAGATTCTGAGGGAGAATGTTCACCCGTGCCTCTCTCCCAGGCTCTGGCAGTAGCCGGCAATCCTTCATGTTCCTTGGCTTAAGGCAGGGCAACTGCAAAATTGCAACTTCTACCTCCATTTTTTCATAGTGTTCTCCCCGTGTGTGAGAGTGTGTGTGTGTGCGCTTTCTCTTCTTATAAGGCACCGGTCATATAGGGTTAGGGCCCACCCCAATTCAGTATGGCCTCATCTTGACTTGATTATATCTATAAAGACCCTATTTCCTACAAGATCATATTCACAGGCATGAGGGGATACGACTTCAACATCTCTTTTGGGGAATGTTATTCAACCCACAACAATCACTGTTCATTCACTTATAAATGAAGCAAAACAGAAAAGCTAGCAGTCATCAATAATTTTACAGATTTATTAAAAATAGTAAAATACTACTTTTTTCCAAGCATTCTTACACAATTAAGAAAGGCTTGTCTAAAATGAGTAGCTTTTAAAAGTCTTCTTAAAAAAGATTTCTACTGGCCGGGCATGGTGGCTCATGCCTGTAATCCTAGCACTTTGGGAGGCCGAGGTGGGCGGATCACCTGAGGTCAGGAGACCATCTGGCCAACATGGTGAAACCCCGTCTCTACTAAAAATACAACAATTAGCTGTGTGTGGTGGTGCGTGCCTGTAATTCCAGCTACTCAGGAGGCTGAGGCAGGAGAATCACTGGAACCCGGGAGGCAGAGGCTGCAGTGAGCAAAGACTGCACCACTGCACTCCAACCTGGGTGACAGAGTAACACTCTGTCTCAAAAAAAAAGACTTCTATAATGAGAATATAACAATAAGTTTTAATTGTGTATTTTCAGTATAGCGTTGTTGGATGTGGAACCTACTGTAAGCCCTTTATTGAATTACATCATTTTATTGGCAATGTTTGTTTTATTTGTTTAAAAAACTACATAGGCATAGATCTCTGCAACTAAGCACAAGTGAAGAGTTTAATATTTTAATTAAAGATTAAAGGTTTTATTTTAATTAAAGATTTCCCACTCACCCCTCCTATTTCTGGCTAACAAACTCCCCACTGTCTACAGACTATCTTCAGCTCTGGGATTATTGGCATTTGTCGGTTTTTCTGGTTCCAACTCAGGTCTCATTTTCTCATTCAAGTATTTACTGAATGCTTACTGTGTATGTTTGCATATTTTTCTACAGGAAACTTTTGCTTCTTTACGTTTGGCTAATCATTGTCTAATATTCTCCAGCTCAAGCCTTCTACCCACTCCACCAATCCCCACGGAAAATGGTCTTTACTCATTCTCTTTGCTTTGCCCTTTAACCTTTATGTGTTTCCTTTTAAAGAGATGCATCTTCTCACCTCTCTAACTTATCCTGAAATAGATGATCAATTCCTTGATTGCAAAAATCATCGGTCACGCCTCTGTATCTGCAGCCTGCTATCAATGAGGCAGGATAGGTAGTCAAAAAAGTGACCATGGGCCGGGCGCCGTGGCTCTCGCCTGTAATCCCAGCACTTTGGGAGGCCAAGGTGGGCGGATCACCAGGTCAGGAGATCGAGACCAGCCTGGCCAACACGGTGAAACCCCGTCTCTACTAAAAATACAAAAAATTAGCCAGACGTGGTGGCGGGCGCCTGTAATCCCAGCTACTCGAGAGGCTGAGGCAGGAGAATCACTTGAACCCGGGAGGCAGAGGTTGCAGGGAGCGGAGTTTGTGCCACTGCACTCCAGCCTGGGCAGCAGGGTGAGACTCCGTCTCAAAAAAAAAAAAAAAAAAAAAAAAAAGAAAAAAGAAATGACCATGTTCTTAGGACGCAGCAACCGTGGTGACCACACAGTCAATACAATAAGCCCCAGCATTCGCTTGGTAATTGAGCTCGTTCAAGCAAAGCTATCTTCATTAGGGACTCCCCCTGTAGAGAGTATGCGCACTTTGATTTCATCCGTCCTCAGACTGACCCTTTGTTCATTATAATGGTATAAAATACACCCCTAGGTGGAGATTTAAGATGTTAATGAGACATGAGACGTATGAACACGCATGTGCGGCTACTGCGCATGTGCACCCAGAGAACCACCCAGAACATGCTTACTGGTAACACCTCTTTTCACCTCCTTAGGAATAATCAGGTAAGACTCCCATAAGGGGAGTCTCCCTCCCGCCAATCTTTTCTGTCTCATCCTCCCCGGCAGCCCACCCTGACTCCTCTCTCTCTCAGAGCATCCTGTCTATTCTGCACTTAACTTTCAAAGTATTCTTTTTCTTTTGCAATAAATTATGCTGCACCCGCTTCACTGTGCGTCTCTTGTTTAAATTTTTTTTTTTTTTTTTGAGACAGAGTTTTGCTCTTGTTGCCCAGGCTGGAGTGCAATGGCGTGATCTCGGCTCACCACAACCTCCGCCTCCCGGTTCAAGCGATTCTCCTGCCTCAGCCTCCCAAGCAGCTGGGATTACAGGCATGTGCCACCACGCCCAGCTAATTCAGTATTTTTTTTAAATAGAGACGGGGTTTCTCCATGTTGGTCAGGCTGGTCTTGAACTCCCAACCTCAGGTCATCCACCCGCCTCGGCCTCCCAAAGTGCTGGGATTACAGGCCTGAGCCACCACACCCAGCTGTTTAAATTCTTTTAAACTAAGAAGACAAGAACGGAGGCATCGTGACACTGCCAACACAAGGTGCTTGTCTTAGTGTGTCTGGGCTACCTATAACAAAATATCGTAAACTGGGTAGCTTATGAAAAACAGAAATTTATTTCTTACAGTCCTGGAGGCTGGGAAGTCCAAGATTAAGGCAGATTTGATATCTGATGAAGGTCTACTTTTTGGCTTATGGATCGTGCCTTCCAGCTGAAGTCTCTCATGGCAGAAAGGGCCAATAAGCTCTCTGGGGTCTCTTTTACAAGGGTACTAATCCCATTAATGGGAGTGGCCTCATGACCTAATTGCCTCCCAGAGCCCCACCTCCTGATATTGTCATGTGGGTGATTAGGTTTCAACATATAAATTTTGGAAAGACAAAAACAGACCATAGCAGTGCTCAAAATGTTTACCATTGATGACTGATTGAGCCTTTTGTTCACTTCAGATTGTAATTTATTATTTCTGAATGAGTTTAATTTGACAGAAATAACTGTTGCCTTTAGCAATTTGCATTTAAGCTTAATTCATCTAGTATTACAAAACTGAGGGTTTTAAATGAGTTCTACTCTTTTTCTGTAATATTTATAACTACGATTACTGACAGCTTACTGTAGCAGTCACTGTTCTAAGTTCTTTACAGACATTTGTCTCATTTTATTCCCATAGCAACCTTTTGTACTAGCACAATTATTTCTATTTTACAGATGAGGAAATTGAAGCTTAGTGAAATTAAATAACTTTCCCAATGTCACACTGCTGATAAATGGAGAATTTCAGCATAGGCCTGTCTGCCCCCAAATATTCTGAGCCTAAGTTTCTACACTTTCCCTGTCAGAAAAATATTCTAGAAAACTTCTTAAAAACAGGTTACTGGGCTCCACTCTGGAGAATCCAAATCAAAATCTCTAGGGGAGCTGTGTGGGAATCTGCATGTTGATAAGAACCCCAGGTAATTTCTGTAATCAAGTTTAGGGAAAACTCAATAATATGATATGGTTTGCCAGTACATATAAGAAGCCCCTGTGTTAAATATTTTTGCCATATATAGTTTGGTTTTCATCACATAAATGTTTCTTGTGGTTCAAAGCTATTAGAGAAACCAAGCTTGCAGATCCACATCTGCAAGGTCTGCCATGCCCCAGTGATATTCAGAATCTAGGGTTGACCTTGTGCTTTCGCTAGCACGTAGAAACATAGGTGTGTGACCCTCACAGCCTCAGAAGGGCCTGGCACCTGGTTTATTGTCTCTCTTTTAAAATTCACAATACAAATGGTCCTGCATTTGCATTTTCACTGGACTTTGCAAATTATGTAGCTGGTGCTGCCCGGGGAATGGATGCAGCAGAAACTGCAGGCCATGAGATACAAAGGATCAGCTCAAGGGAAAAGAGCACAGTCTTTTTTCTTTTCCTTCTCTAAGAATTCGGACAGGGAGGCCGGGCACAGTGGCTCATGCCTGTAATCCCAGCACTTTGGGAGGCCGAGGTGGGCAGATCACGAGGTCAGGAGATTGTGACCATCCTGGCTAACATGGTGAAACCCTATCTCTACTAAAAATACAAAAAATTAGCTGGGCATGGTGGCGGGCGCCTGTAGTCCCAGCTACCTGGGATGCTGAGGCAGGAGAATGGCAGGAGCTTGCAGTGAGCTGAGGTTGCACCACTGCACTGCAGCCTGGGTGACAGAGCAAGATTCCATCTCAAAAAAAAAAAAACAACAAAAGAATTAGAAGAGGCAGGACAAAGCCAGGTGGAAGTGGAGTATGATGGTGTCAGGAGTGTGATGCAGGGTGGTGTGAGGTTGAAGATCTGGATGTTCCCACATCTTCTTAATACTTCTATGGAAGGGAGAGGGAAAAGAGTGTGGAGAAGGGTTTGGGGAGCAGGGGAAGGAGAGAGGCAGCATCCTTGTGCTGGAGAAGTGCTTCCCATGGCTGGCCCACCAAGTTAGATTTCAGGAGGGTTAACTGATTAATAAGAATGCCCCACTATGCTGAACTGTTGGTACAAACAATGTGGTTTGTGCTAAACAACTGCCTTTCTTCTGGGAGTCTGGGTTTTGGGTGCATGCCTGGTAGGGGCTGCCTTTGTGACCAGTACCCAATAAAACCTTGGGTGCTGAGTCTCTAGTGAGCCTCTGTTGTAGACAGCATTTCACACATGATGCCACAACTAATAGCTGGGGGAATTAAGTGTGTTCTGTGGACTCCAGTGGGAGTCTCTTGGAAGCTTGTGTTTGGTTTCCTCTGGACTTCATCTCATGCACGTTTCCTTTTGCTGACTTTGCTTTGTATCCTTTTGCTGTAGTCATACCCATGAGTACAACTATAGCAGTTCCCCCTTATCTGAGAGGAACGAGTTCCAAGGCTGCCTCTCATTTCTCTTCAGCTTCCTCTCTATATCTTCCAACTACACTGGTGTCCAGAAGTTTTAAGCCCTGAGTTGTGGTTACCTTGTGTGTTAGTCCATTTTCATATGGCTGATAAAGACATACCCAAGACTGGGCAATTTACAAAAGAAAGAGGTTTATTGGACTTAGAGTTCCATATGGCTGGGGAGGCTTCACAATCATGGTGGAAGGCAAGGGGAGAAAGTCACATCTTATATGGATAGCAGCAGGCAAAAAGAGAGCTTCTGGAGAGAAACTCCCATTTTTAAAACCATCAGATCTTCTGACAGCCATTCACTATCATGAGAACAGTGCTGGAAAGACCTGTCCCCATGATTCAATCATCTCCCACTGGGTCCCTCCTATAACACATGGGAATTATGGAAGCTAAAAGATGAAATATGGGTGGAAACACAGAGCCAAACCATATTACCTTGGGTTAAAGTAGGTTCAGGATTGCAAATGCCAAGTTCCTTTTTTTTTTTTTTTGAGACAGGTCTTACTTTGTCACTCAAGCTGTAGTGCAGTGGCACAATCATAGCTCACTGCAGTCTTGAATTCCTGGGCTCCAGTGATCCTCCTGCCTCAGCCTCCCAAGTAGTTGGGCCACGGGCATGTGCCACCAAACCTGGTTAATTATTTTATTTTTTTGTAAATACAGGGTCTTGCTATGTTGCCCAGGCTGGTCTCAAACTCCTGGGGCTCAAGCAATCCTCCCACCTCGGCCTCCCAAAGTGCTGGGGTTACAGGTGTGAGCCAATGCACCCAGCCTAATGCTAAATTCTAAGCATACCTGCATGTGTGCATACGTAAGTATATCTGCATGTGTGTGTGTGTGTATGTGTAATTGTGCCAGAAAGGAGGGCAAATCTGTGTGAAAGCAGAAATAGTAGAGACTATATTACTTTATTCCGAAAGTAAGTGTCATCCTTTTTTTTTTCTTGATTCCTTAATAGGTGCTTCTTGTGAAGGGGGAAGGAAACAGGTAGGAAGGAGGCCTGGCTATTAAAGTTAGGTAGGCTAGAGGAGTTAGAGGAGCAGTGGAGAAGTGTTCTCAAATATATAACATCCTGAAAATTGATGTTCCAAACTCAGATACTTTTGTTGGGTTCTCTTATCATAACAACATAATTCGCTAATTTGTAAAGTCATAAGACAAAGTCGGGTTTAATACTGCCCACCACGAAATGACTGGTTTCAGATGTGATATGGCCATCTAAAGTTCAGAGTGGAATCAATAGCTCATTCTCTTTCTCAACCCCTAAGTGAAGGTGTAAAGTTTGCTTTCTTATCGACACTGCCCGGAACTACAGTTTTATTTCCTATGGATGTTCAAGACACAAGCGACTTTTTTGGGGATTATCAGCATAAGCCAAGCAAACTGTCAGTTCTGCAGGCAAAGAAAACACTCAGACTTAATTTTGGAGCATCTATCTATCTGTTGTACTTAAATAATAACAAATGAATTTTTCCATAAAGGAAGGCTATGTCTTTTTGAAATATATAAGTAAAGAATAAATAAAGATACCTAAGTAACAAAGTAAAATACAACAGAGTATCTTCTTGGCTCTAATGTTCAGGTCATTTTCTCTTTTGACAAGTTCAATGCCAAGGTTTAGGTTATTTAATACAAAGTGTTGGTTTTTGCCTTTGTTAAAATGGAGAAAACCGAGGCAGTCAGAGCAAACTCAGTATCTTTGGATAAACCAAAAGAGCAAATCAAGCACCCAGTAACGGGGTTCTCTCATAGCAATCCTGACGTCGTGAACTGGTTACATTATCATCTCAGCTATGTCAATGAGAATACCACAGCAAAATACTTGACATATAAATTTCTTTTCTGTGAAATGAAAGGCCATCTTTTAAGCTCAAGTCCTACTTTGTATCCTATTCAGTATAATATAATTAAATTCTAAAGGTTTAAATACCAGAAAACAAAATCGATTAGGGTAATCTACCAAATTGAATTAAGGAATACTTAATACATTAGACATAGGGATTACAGAAAAGATTATTGAGCCACTTCATTGTCTAAAGCTTGAGTAAGTCAAGAAAACCCTGAAGGAGGTATGGCTAGAATCTTAATTGGCACATGACTTTTTCATAAAAAGATTAAGCAATCCTCTACAAGTCTAGTTGTTCTATTCACCCTTAGACAGTGTGAGAGATTCTTGATTAAGTGTTGGTCTAGCAACTAATATTCCCACCACCCCTTATAGGTTAGCTTGAAGATATTCATTTACTTTAGCACAATTGGCTCTTGGACTTAATGAGAAACTATGGATGGGACACAGGAGTCCCCTTTTCTTCTTAACTTGGGACTAGGCATCTATTCCAAAGAGCAATTTGTTATGCCAGTAGGTAAATGCCAGTTCAAATGCACTATTTCCTATGTACATACACATGGCGACTTTTGAATTAGGATTTATTTTACAGGTAGTAATAGAGGCTGGGCATGGTGGCTCACACCTGTAATCCCAGCACTTTGAGAGGCCGAGGTGGGCAGATCACTTAAGGTCAGGAGTTTGAGATCAGCCTGGCCAATGTGGTGAAACTTCACCTATACTAAAAATACAAAAATTAACTGGGCGTGGAAATTAACTGGGTGTGGTGGCATGCTCCTGTTATCCCATCTACTTGGGAGGCTGAGGCAGGAGAATTGCTTGAGCCCAGGAGGCGGAGGTTGCAGTGAGCCGAGATCACGCCACTGCACTCCAGCCTAGGTGACAGAGCGAGACTCTGTCTCAAAAAAAAAAAAAAAAAAAAAAAAAGAGGTAGTAATACAAATCTTATGTTTTTACAATAGTTTAGTACAATTTTTTTATCCTGATGATAGTAAGACTGCTATAACAGAACTATCAGCAAACTTCAAGAAGAAGCTTATGTTTAAAGTTTTCTTCAGTAAAGTTCCCAAGTTTCCCAGACCTGCACATAGTTAGGAGTGTGAAAAGAAGCTTTATGGAAAGCCAAGTAGGTATCATAAAATAGGTGAACTGGAACACGGTTTTAATTATGCCAGAGTGAGGTAGTTTATAGCTCACAGCTTAGCACCCTAACAATGGACATGAAGTACTGACTAATTGTAATTTTGTCAGTAATAACCTTGAGACATGGATAAACAAAAGTATGGAAGCCTCTACTTGGATCTCTGAAGGGCCAAGGGGGTTAATCTAATTTAGATTAAACAATGAGTTATATAAATTTAATACTTCATGTGCATCTTAATTTAGAATTGCCAAAGAATGTATAAAAACTTAGCAAAAGAGTTTTTTTTTAATCCTTAATTTAAAGATAATCATCAGATTCAAGGGATTTTCAAGGTACAAAGGAATAAAAGTTTTCATTTAGTTAAGATGAATAAATGTGCAAAACCCTGTTGAGGTTAAAAATAGTTGTGCATATAAATCAAGTGATAGTGCTTCTCTTGGACCTTTATAACAATTATTGTCTGTGCAAGTTTTCTGCAATTTATCATGAAGTGCCTCATGCACTGCCTCCATTGTTACTTGGAAATGCTAATTTAAATCATCTTTTGTGGTTATTTAACCATTCATATTAATTTAATGAACACATGTCTGAGTGCCTCAATGTGGCAGGCATTGTCCTTGGCACCATGATACAGACTTCTGCCTGAGATTCCCGTCTACTGTTAGGGACAATGGTGACAATAAAGCAAATAAATAGAGAAAAGAGATTGACTCATAACAGGTCATTAATTTGGTCTTTGTCCCAGGTTCCTGGGACCAAGTTTCTAAACCCTAGGACTTTCTCAAGTGATAGGAGTGTTTGTTATTCATAGTGAGCGCCAGGGACCATGCCTGGGTCCATGCCAATAAGGTGACTCATGGTGGGCCCCTAGGTGGTTTCAGGATGGGGGCTGGGTGTGCCAGGAAGACCAGCCACCTGATAGAGGGTTGAGGCTTTGAGCTTCCTGATATCAGCCTGATCTCCAGGGAGGAGGGGAAAAGGGGGCTAAACATTATATTTAATCATGTGGCCAATGATTTAATCAATCATGATTACAGAATGAGATCCCAATAAATCATTGAACACCCAAAGCCTGGGTGAGCGTCACTGGTTGGTGATGCACACTGGTGTACCAGAAGAGTAGGGAATTCTTGACAGAGCAGGAGCATCACCATCTTGGACAAGCACCGCCATTTTAAAGTTCCCCTTGATAAAAAAATCGCCTAAGTCCAAAGGGCATCAGGCTAAGGTCAGCATGACCATAAACCACAAATGATATCTCCAATCAGAAACATTCCAACCCCAAGATAAACCCCTCCCCAGCCAGAGACATGCCAGCCCCAAGATAATCTCCCCTCTGGCCAGAGAGGCCGGAGAGATGTCAGCCCCAAGATAACCCCCCTCCAACCAGAGACATTTCAACCCTGCAATAAACTTCTCTTCCACACAGAAACAGTCCAAGCCTGTGATAAGCTCTCTCACCCTAAAACCCTTAAATACTCTTAGTCTGTAAGAGAGAGTGCTCTTGACTGAAATCAGCCAGAAGCCCCTCTTAGGTTTGTTCTCCAAAATAAACCTGTCTTTGACTGTTGAGCTGCCTTTTGTGTTTCTTTCCTCTTTCTTTAACTCCTACAATTCTCACTTCACAGGGAGAGGACATGCAAGCTCTTGTCTCTGAAGCTTCCCCCGACCTCACCCTGTGCATCTCTTCATTTGGCTAGACTTGATTTGTATCCTTTATAACAAAACTCTGATTATAAGTATAGCACTTACCTGAGTTCTGTGAGTCATTCTAGTGAATTATTGACCCTGAAAGAATAGTAGCAACCCCAAATTTGTAGTCAGTTGGTCAGAAATGTGAGTGGCTTGAGAGCCACCCAAGTTTGCAGCTGGTGTGTGAAGAGAAGGCTGTTTTGTTGGGGACTGTGCTTTTAACTTGTGAAGGCTGTGCTAACTCAGGGCAGTTGGTGTCAGAATTGAGTTGTGCATTGCAGAGATAATTCCAGGGAGTGGCACATTCTATGAAGAAAATTAAGAAGGGCTGTAGGGAGGTGTGAGTGGCTATGTCAGCTGAGTGGACAAAGAAGTCCTCTTAGAAGAATTAACATCGAAGCTGAGATCCACATGATGAGAAGGAAATGAGAGATTGCTTATGTGGAAGGACATTGTCCCTGGGGACTCAGAAAATGCAGTTGAGCTCTAATCAGGTATTGTGGCCAGCACCTCCAAATTAGGAGAAGCTAAATGGCTGGATGCTACACTGTCACCTGAGACTAGGCCTGTCTTCTCCAAGAAAAGGCATGAAGTCAAGGGTACAGGGACAGGAACATGGAGCAGGAAGATGGGCAGAGCTTTTCTGATATCAAGCCTGCCACTTTTTCCACAGCAAATGGATATAAGAATGATGATGTTGGCTAACACTTAGAGAGCTCTGACTATGTGCAAGGACTGGGGACAATCAGGCTTTACTGGAGCAAACTCAGTGATGTTACAATTATTCTCATTTGCAGCTGAGGTAAGGATCTGGGTGAGAAGTAGAAGCCCAGAGAGGTTAAGGAACTTGTCCAAAGGCACATGGTTAGTGAGGGAGAAAGTTGGGATTTGGACCCAGGTGGGTGTGATTCCAAAGTCTGTGCTGTTCACCATGCTGCTATGTAAGGTTGCTGGCCTAAGCGTGGCCTGTTGGCTAGCAGCAGCCACACCTTGTAGCATCTCAGGTCCTGCTCCAGACTTCCTGAATCAGAATCTGCATTTTAACAAGATCTCAGGTGGTTTCTAAGTACATTAATGTTTGTAAAGCACAACTACATGAGGCCTCTCAGCTTTCCACTCAAAGTCCCACTAGGAATCCAAACTTCCATCCTAATCTCCTCCACTTTGTTAAAATTTTCACCCTCACTGAAACATAAACTGATCCAGGATCAGAGCCATGTCTCGTTTTTCTCAATAAAGTCTCTTAGGTTGAATTTGTTTTCAGGAGCTGATCCTGGAATAGGTTAGACTCTATTTCACTCCGTGTTTCTGTCACTTCCAAAGTATGCTCCACACTGTGGATGTTTAGATCCAATAGGCCAAGACTAATTCTCTTCAAATGGTGAGAGATTGGTCAGAGAGTTCAGCAGAGAAACCAAATTACGGGGATTCAATTTGCAGAGAAATCTCCCGCCTGCATCTGGGGATGCTGTTTCTTCTGCAGAGAGTAACAAGTTCAGGAAGGGAGAGGCACCCAGAGAGAGGACATGGAGGAGGCAGAACCCATCCAGCCACACTGAGGACTAAACTCTGATTGTTTTTTTTTAAGTCTTGCCCAAATTCCTATCTAAGAGGTGTGGGGAGTCATGCCCTACAAATAATAAATTTTCATCAGATGGGTTTTATTTAACCTATATATTGTGACTTATTTTCCAACCTGACTCATATAACATTATGAGACAAGGAAGAAAATCAAAATATTTTACCCCAAAGCATGTTTCTTAGCCATATTTTGAAATGGGCCTCCAAAGCTGTTCTTTGTGGGGGAAATTTTGCATCTGTAAAGAATCTCTATTAACATAGCTAGATCTCTTTCTTCTAGACCCTCCCAATCCTAAAGAGATTAAGATCTGAATAGGAAACTTTGTCATCTATTGTCTCTAAGGGCATCCACTATAAGACTTCAAAAGAACTTTGGTATCCACAATCTTTTATCTTAACATGAACATTCCATTTCTATCAGTCTCAGGTCTTTAGACAAACTCAACAAATTGTCAATCACAAAATATTTAAATTCACCTATAGCCTGGAACCCCTACCCCCACCACCCTCCGCTTTGAGTTGTCCCGCCTTTCTGGACCAAACCAACGTATTTCTTAAATGTATTTGATTGATGTCTCATACCTCTCTAAAATGTATAAAACCTGCCAGGCGTGGTGGCTCATGCATGTAATCCCAGCACTTTGGGAGGCCGAGAGGGGTGGATCATCTAAGGTCAAGAGTTCGAGGCCAGCCTGGCCAACATGGTGAAACCCTGTCTCTACTAAAAATAAAAAAATTAGCGGGGTGTGGTGGCATGTACCTGTAGTCCCAGCTACTTGGGAGGCTGAGGCAGGAGAATCACTTGAACCTGGGAGGCAGAGGTTGCAGTGAGCCAAGGTCATGCCACTGCACTCTAGCCTGGGCAACAGAGCAAGACTCTGTCTCAAAAAATAAAATATAAAATAAAATAACATAAAATAGATAAAATGTATAAAACCAAGCTGTGTCCCAACCACCTTGGGCACACATTCTCAGGACTTCTTGAGGGCTGTGTCATGGGCCATGGTCACTCATATTTGGCTCAGAATAAATGTCTTCAAATATTTTACAGAATTTGACTCTTTGTTGACAACACAGACCTGCAGAACCAAGTCTGGCATCAGCTCATTCACGTTAATTCCTCTGTGGCATGTGACGATTCCTCCAAATACAAATGGTATTTGAAAGGACAGGTAAGAAAATCAGTCACACGCACACAAATATCATGTCAATTGTAAAACAGAAAGACTTTTTTCCAAACTGTAACCAATTTTACGTCCCATTTCAACAGTGAGTTTGCAGCTGAAGTTGAGTAACTGAGTAATCTTAAAGAGCTGATTTCCTTCGCAGGAATTGTCCATTTCTTCTAATTGTTTAAAGTCACTCTGGAATCTGGAAGATAAAAGGGAAGGCTTCCATCTACTTGTAAAAGCTACAGCATTTGTAATTGGACCTGACCTCAGAAATGCCCGGTGGGCTCAATCCATTAATGGGAGTCAGCCTAGGTTGTGATCCTGAAAATTTCACTATTTCTGCTTGTTCTTAGACCCACTACTGCTTCTCAGTTGTTAGTAGCCCATGGCAATAGCAGTGAAGGCTGGGACATTAAGAAAAAATAGAGCTTAATGATTTCTACACATCACTCCAGGGCGTTTTTGCTTTTGTTTTTTTTTTCATGCCTTCTATTATCAACCCTAAAAAGTTAAAAAAAACCAACCACACACACACACACACACACACACACAAACAAAAAACATAACAAAAAAACAGAAGTCATCAACTTTCTGCCACTGACCCTCACTTCTGTGGCTGTAGGTTTTCTATCAAGATTTCCAGATGATTGATCTCATGATGGAGTAAGATTAAGAGTTCTGATACCCACTCAGCTGTTGATAGGCAGAGACCCAAGGTCATTGTTCCAGGTCAAAGTTTCCTCTTTGGGTGTCAACATTCATCTTGGCCCTGGGGAATTACTAAGGATGAAGGCTGTATTAAACTGTTTCTCGATGTGCTCTGCTGTATACCAGCTCTGAGACCTTGGGCCAGTCACTTAACCTCTCTAGACCCAGACCCCTGATCTGTAAAATGAGAGGTTCTGCACTGGTTGATCTCTAAGACGCTTCCACTGTTAGGACACTGTGATTCTTGGTCTTGTTTTGAGCTATACGTGAGGCAAAAATATACAGCCACATTTTGTGGGAAAAAATGGGGAAAGAAAAACAATTTAGAGCATCTTCTCAGGAAATAGTTACTGGGAATGATCAAACGTTACCCATTCTGAGATTTGTGATGTTAATGCTCTTTTTAAAAATCATGTATGAGCCCATCATGATGTTGCAAAAGCATGAGGGCTGAAGACCAAACCCAAGTAAATCGAATGTATTATAATTAATGGCCAGGGCAGGAATGGAGAGACAGAGAGAAAGTGGTCCTCTATGCTGGTAATACACCTATTATCATCCTACATAGATTGCCTGAGGCAACCTCTCTTTTCTGGGTGGGGCTGAATCAGAGATAAGCTTTCAGAACAATAGTAGGGAAGCAAAGTGAGCCAGAAATCAGTACACAGTGTAATGAAAACTTTAAAAAAGAAAAGGCAGAGGCAAGAGCTGTACCCAAGCAGGAAATGAGGGGTCTAGGAAAACAGGGTCTAAAATCCAGATTTCATGTAGGAAGTCAGTTGGCCCAGCACCTGTGGCTCCATTAGAGAACTCCAAAGCCCCAGCGCCCTGAGATTTCTCT
This sequence comes from Homo sapiens, assembly GCF_000001405.40. NCBI lineage: Eukaryota > Metazoa > Chordata > Mammalia > Primates > Hominidae > Homo > Homo sapiens. The sequence goes on along the minus strand of NC_000007.14, from coordinate 147,985,876 downwards.
GCTTGGGGTGATGAGTGCCCTAAGGGCAGAAGCTGAGTTTCAGGCCAAACCTGGCATTATCACTCTCCCTCTGCTCTGATGTATTATTTTTCTTCCTCATTCAACAAACATTTGTTGAATCCTTTCTAGGTGTTAGGCATGTGATACTACTGAGAATATACAAGTGAATTAGATTTTGTTTTTACTTTTAAGAAGTACACTGTTAGGGGAGCCAAAATAGATGCAGTAAGTGGAAAAAGATCAGTTGTTTGATGACTTGTCAAAAAGAGGGGTGCAAAATCAAGGGGGATCTTTTCTCCACTAAGCATGGGACTGGGAGCAGTTTTTGTCACCTATCCTTTTTTTATCTCTGCTTTCAGAACCAGCCCTTCATGTAAGAGTAAGTTAGAAGACACAGCTTGCCAGTGTAAGAGCCAATGGAATCTTCCCCTTTGCCCTCTGAAGATTCGCAAAAAAAAAAAAAAAAAAAGTAAAAACATAAATCAACTCCCAAGAGTCAGATTAAATGGAGAAAAGGCATACATATTGATTTAACATGTACATGTGGAGAACCAAGGAGAGCCCCAGAGGGATTACCACTCCCCACCCCCCACCCCCAGTGGGGGTTCAGAAGCTTATTTACCATCCTGGAAAAATAGATTATGGGAGTGGAGAGAAGAGGAATTCTGTTGAGGGGATTACCAGAGAGAATAAATGGATCTAGGAACAGAGATGAACTTGTAAATAGTTATTTATTTATTTATTTATTTATTTATTTATTTTTTGACAGAGTCTTGCTCTGTCACCCAGGCTGGAGTACAATGGCGTGATTTCGGCTCACTGCAACCTCTGCCTCCTGGGTTCAAGCGATTCTCATGCCTCAGTCTCCTGAGCAGCTGGGATTACAGGTGCGCACCAACATGCGCAGCTGATTTTTGTGTTTTTAGTAGAGATGGGGTTTCACCATGTTGGCCAGGCTGGTCTCAAACTCCTGACCTCAAGTGATCCATCCGCCTCAGCCTCCCAAAGTGTTGGGATTACAGGCATGAACCACTGCGCCCAGCCAGTAAATAGTCCTTTTGACAGTGAAAGTGAAGTTCCTCTCCTCCCCTGCTCCCAAAACCTGTTTTTCCAGGATGATATATAAGCTTCTGAACTCCTTTGGGGGGTGAGAAATCATTCTGTGATTCTCCCTGTAGTAAAATTTGCATGCCTTTTCTTCTATTAACCTGCCTTGTGAGTTGGTTTTTCAGTGACCCTTCACAGGGCAATAGGGATGTTTCCCTAGACCCCCTCATTAGCAAACAGCTAGACCCAGCCACTCCCCGAGAGCATAAGAGATTTTTTTTTCTTCCCATTTTTATCCTAACATCAGCTCTGATTGAATAGAGTAGAAAGGAGGACTTTGGAACTAGGTAGATTCCAGTCTGAACTCTGAAACTTATTGGCAAAGCACCTAATAACATTGTTTCTGTTTCCTCATCAGTACACTGGAGTCAAAGGTACTGTGAACCAAAACTAAAAATCTAAGCACCAACTCCATCTCGAAATAAGGCTAAGACCTGCTGGACTTCATTCCCAGGTGGTTAGAAGTTCTAAGTCACAGGATTAGATAGGAAGTTGGCACAAGATACAGGTTACAAAGACCTTGCTGATAAAACAGGTTGCAGTAAAGAAGCCGGCTAAAACCCACCACAACCAAGATGGCGACAAGAGTGACCTCTGGTTGTCCTCACTGCCATACTTCCACCAGGGCCATGACAGTTTACAGACTGTAGCAATAAGATACCAAATTTTAACCTGACTCTAGCATAACATCACATGACAGAAAAAGGAAGAAATAAAAAGATTTCACACCCAAACATGTTTCTTTGCCATATTTTGAAATGACCCTGCTAAGCAGTTTTTTTGTGGGGGAAAATTCACATCTATGAATAATCTCTATCAACATAACTAGATCTTTCCCCTTCCAGGCCCTCAAAATCCAGAAGAAATTTACTGAGAGTCTAAGCACCTTTTAAAGGTCTAAATGGAAACATTTGCCATCTATTGTCTCTAAGGGCAGCCACCTAGGAGACTTCATCTACATAATAAGTACCTTGACCTCCACAACCCCTTATCTTAACCCAGATGCTCCTTTCTATCAATTCCAGACCTTCAGATAATAACTTAACTCTTTTAACCAATCTCCAACCAGAACATTTTTAAATCCACCTATGACTTGTAAGCCACACTCTCACATTGCTTCTAGACTAAACCAATGTATACCTCACATATATTGATTGATGTCTTATGTCTTTCTAAAACATATAAAAACCAAATTGTAGCCCTTGGACACATGTTCTGAGGACCTCTTGAGCCTGTACCTTGGGCCATGGCCACTCATCTTTGGCTTAAATAAACCTCTTTAAATATTTTACAGGGTACTTTTTTATTTATTTATTTTTATTTTTATTTTTTTTTTGTCAACAGTATCACCTATTAAGGGATGTTGAGAGAATCAAGAGAGAAAATGAATCGAAAGTGATTGGTTTAGAACCTGCATGCTAGTCCCTTTTCCTTTCTTGCCTTTTCCAAGCCTGAAGCAGCAAAGAAAAAGGAGATAAATAAATTTTGAACTCTTCTCTGGAGCCTGGAGAGCTGCTTCCTCTCAATAAGGAGAATTGCTTCCTGAACCCAGATGAGAAGTGGTTTCTCCTTCAGTCCCTATTCACTGCACAGAGTATGTGGCCTATGTATGCTCGTGGGTATTATCTTCTGAAAGAGAGTTACTGCCATGTGCGCCCCTGTTGGAAATGTTTCATTGGTACAGAAACAACGTGGAGACCGAGGCATTGCCTTATTGCCTTGTCTGTTTTTGCTTTTTTTTTTTTTTTTTTTGAGGTGGAGTCTCACACTGTCACCCAAGCTGAAGTGCAACAGCACGATGTTGGCTCACTGCAACTTCCACCTCCCGGATTCAAATGATTCTCCTGCCTCAGCCTCCTGAGTAGCTGGGATTACAGGCGGCCACCAGCACACCCTGCTAATTTTTGTGTTTTTATTAGAGACAGGGCTTCACCATGTTGGCCAGGCTGTCCTCGAACTCCTGACCTCAAGTGATCTGCCTGCCTCGGCTTCCCAAAGTGCTGGGATTACAGGTGTGAGCCACCATGCCTGGCCATCTTATCTCTCCTGTCAAGGGAATGGCAGGTTATGATCCTGGTTTGTAAAATTCTTGCAAAAAAAAGATAATGGCCTTCCTATTAGTCTGGCACATAAAATAACTTTCCCAAAGAACAAATATTCACCATCATCTTGATGAATCTCCATCAGTATCTTTATTTGTTTACACACAGCTTTGTCTGTCCTCTGAGTGTTCCAGAACTAGATGTGTCACTACTGCCTTGCCTTTCCTTCCTTGTCTCTCTGGGTCACCTCCGTAGCTCTGAGAAACTGAATTTGCATCTTAATCCTGCAGTGTGACTCCAGTGCTCTGTCTGCCAGCTTCACAGCCAGTGTTTCTGGCATGGCCTTGGAAGAAGCCCTTGAATAAGACATTTTCTGGAATTGTTTCTACCCAGGTTTACTGAAAACATTTGATTTTTTTTTAAACCTTTCCTATGGTTCTGACAAACTTGCTCCAAAGTATTTATTTACAGTCCCCGTATCCCTAGAGGAGTACAGTAAAGTTTTACATCATATGGCTGAAAATAAAGCAATTGTCTAGCAAATACTATATTCCTACAATTAATTATATTCGTCATATATAGTATGAGATTTCTACCTCCAAAAAGTGGAAGTCTTTTATTTTTTTAACTAATTTCATGAAAGTATGAAAGTTTGGCAGCCATCTGCAAAGATGATTACATATTTCAATTTGAAACAATGTCTACCTGATCATTGATTTTTAATCTTCCAAATGGTTCTTTTGTTTCTTTCTAGGTGCGTACGTGTAGTTTAAGAGGGGGATTTGTATTTTCACAGCACTTTTTATTTCAGCGAACCATCCGTCACCACTCATACTTTCAGTGTCATTTGATTTGAAGTTTCCATTTGGATAGGCTTTGCAAAAAAGAAAGAATGAAAGAAAAAAAAAACCACACACACACACACACACACACACACACACCTGTAAGGACATAAGCATTTCACAGAACTATATGGGAAATGCAGCAGATCTGAGTGGCATGCACTGATTTTCTTTAGCATTTTGATTATATGGGTCTGAGTTCAGACGAATCAAAGCAAAAATGAAACTCAGCAGGCATGATGAAATCAACCAAAACTGCTGAAATGGTTGGGCAGAGCCCACAAAAATGGTTTCATTCTCTGAGACTAGAGGATGGAACTGGGGCCTAATTCAAGAGGCAGGTTCTGAGGGCTGTCATCACTCAACTCCTCAAACTGAAAGATATTTTTCAACAATAGGTTTAGTCTTTATAAGCTGTAGGTTTGAACAGACTTCAGTAAATGACACAAAGTAAGTTCATCTCTATAAACAGCAGGAAAAATGCACTATGCCACTTTTTAAATTACATAAATGTAATCCCTATAATGTTTGTACTATGTTGGTAACTGACATGTGTGGCTGAGGCTAGTGGTGGGATAAAACCCAAATGAAACATTTTAAGGCATTTTAATTTAATCAACAATTGGCTCAGGGATGAGAGTACAGTTGGGAAAACAACTCTGACCTTGTACAGACACAGCTATTTCTATTCTCTGTTCCATCTTTTGTCCTGAAGCCTCTCAGAGGCTGAAAGTATGCTCAGAAATTTGCTGTGTAAATGCCATTTTCAAAGAAGTATTTTCTTCATTTGTAAGGCAGAAAGACTAATATTTGCCCTGCCCAATTCACAGGAGGCTGTGTGTAACCAGGGAGATCACATATGTATAAAAACTGGAAAATGCAGTTGATACGGAACACTCTATCACTACTGTGTCCATGTGAGAACATTCTTTTTTTTTTTTTTTTTTTTTTTGTTAAGATGGAGTCTTGCTCTGTCACCCAGGCCGGAGTGCAGTGGCACAATCTCTGCTCACTGCAAGCTCCGCCTCCCAGGTTCACACCATTCTCCTGCCTCAGCCTCCCGAGTAGCTGGGACTACAGGTGCCCGCCACCACGCCCGGCTAATTTTTTTTTTTTTGTATTTTTAGTAGAGACGGGGTTTCACCGCGTTAGCCAGGATGGTCTCGATCTCCTGACCTCGTGATCCGCCCGCCTCGGCCTCCCAAAGTGCTGGGATTACAGGTGTGAGCCACCGCGCCCGGCCGTGAGAACATTCTTAAAGGGAACATGGGCTTCACAACTGCTGACTGCTACCAGGCAATTCGAGTACCAGGTAGGATACTTATTCTCGGTTGCCTGGAAAACAATGAGATTTCTCTCTCTCACACAGACACAAAAGTATTCTACATAATTGCCATTAACTGTTGACTGCTTTTGCTTTCATGAAATATCAGGTAAAATATTATTTAAAAGAGTTTCTCTGAAGTTACAGTAATTATAAGTATACTGAGATCATGTAATGTGAATAAATAAGTTTATTTTGATAATAGGTTCTAAAAATGTTTCTAAGAACAACAGCCCTAGAATAGAAATGCAAATGAACAATGACCACTATACTTTTCTCATTTTCTCTTTTTTAAAAAGAAAGTCTGCCTGAAATACACCTTCTATGGCTCCTTTCTTGATTATCAGTTGCAATAATTTTATATTACAAAGCCTAAAATTAAATTATAAGCCAATTTGTGTTTTCCAATATTTTTTCATGTTCATTTCACATAACATGGTTTGAACTTCTTTTTCTTACTTTCCAGAGCACCTAGGAAAGTTCTAGATGAATGACAGCCTCACAATAAATTCTTCCTGAGGCTGATTTATTAAGAACAAATAAGCTAATATTAATTATAAAGTGCTCATATACTGCAGCATCTACTATTTAATGTTCCTAGAATCTTTTTTTTAAGAATGGTAATAAAAGTTTGCAGAAGGCTGGGCACAGTGGCTCACACCTGTAATCCCAGCACTTTGGGAGGCCGAGGCGTGTGGATCACCCGGGGTCAGGAGTTCGAGACCAGTCTGTCCAACATGGTGAAACCCCGTCTCTACTAAAAGTGCAAAAATCAGTCGGGCATGGTGGCGTGTGCTTGTAATCCCAGCTACTTGGGAGGCTGAGGCTGGAGAATCACTTGAACCTGGGAGGCGGAGGTTGCAGTGAGCTGAGATCGTACCGCTGTACTCCAGCCTGGGCGACAGAGCAAGACTCCGTCTCAAAAAAAGAAAATAAAGCAAAACAAAACAGACAAGAAAAAAAGTTTGCAGAAGTGGAATTTTTATAAATATATTAAGTTAATCAATTATTTAATGGGAACACTTTCTCAAATTCAAAGCTAACTTCAGAATTAGAATCGGTAAGCCAGAAATATTTTACCTTTATATGCTAATGAGTAATTATTCCATAACAAAAATGATTTTCATTAGACAACACATGACAGTCTTCCTAATTTTAGAGCAACACTGTATTTCATTTCTTATAATATTTGTTTAAAATGCATATATACTATTGCTTTAGGTGAATATCCTTTTCTTAGGCAGTTGAAATTAAATTTCTTCTGCACAGTTTTACTAAGCCTGACTAAACAAATGAAGTATTATTGTTCAATAAGTGCGTGATAAAGATCTTGACCAGTCTCAATTTTACAGGTAGCATTTTCAATGTAAGTAGAGAAAAATCAGTACAAAGTCCATCTCCCTTTTGTATTAGGAACATGGCATTGCTTAATTGCTGACAACCTCAATTTACTAAGTAGGAAACTGTTAAGCATGCATCATTACGTTCCTTAGGACATCTCTTTGAGTGGACGCTATAATTTATTATCAAGTAGGTCTAATTCTCCCTTGATTTACAAAGTGGTAATAATATTCCATCTCACATAATGCTTTGCTAGGAGGAATCCAAATCCAGGCACTAAAATATTCACAGCCTCCCCAGGAGGAATTGGGATGTGTGTGGTATTCTCATTACCACAGCTAAGACAATGGAGGGGTTTGCCTGAGGTCTCCTGGCAAGTCAGCTATTTGGGGAGCAGAATCTAGGTCTCCGGATGCCTAGCACACAATCACAAAAGCATAGAACTCTCAGGAGAGTTGCCTAAACCACGTGTCCCAGAAAGAAGAGAGAAAACGATGCCCAGGATGCTCGCTGCAGAATCCCCACAGTGCAACCATGTCACTGTTTCCCTCTGACTGCACATAAAGCACACCGAAGGGTATCAAACAACATAAAATCCTAATGGTGCCCTTAATTAGGAGGGACCATCACTCCAACTCCCTTACCTCCCACTGTCCAAGCTAGCAGCCCCAAATTCCTCTCTGGGGTGACTAATCTTGAAAGCAAGACATAGTTAACAGAAACAATCTTTGGCTTACAAGGGACCATCAAGCTCTGATGATGATGAAGTTTGATAGCAATAATGTCAAACTTTATATGGCCATAATCCAAGTTTACAATGATACATTAAGCCATAATGCTACTATTTATATCACCATAAACTCGGTTTATGGTGATATAAATAGTCATCCTAATGGCATTAACAGCAGCACTCCGTGGAATCACAGCTGTTGAGTACTGCATTTATGCTATTAGCATTGCTATTAATATCATCATAAACTTAGGTAGTCAAACTTGTTACATATGAATATAGAGGAAAGATGGATATCCCCACTTTATGCCCAAATCTCGGCTCCTGTACTGGAGGCTTTATGGCTGTTCCCCTCCTCTAAGTTATCTCTGCTTGGGTTGTGTGATGTTTCTGTAGGAGCTACAGGAGAGCAAGTCTGATTGCAGGCATCTTCTGAGGAGCCTGGAAACAATATTTAAATGGGATAAGAAAGTGCAAGCCATAGCTGCTATGCAAACTTACTGTCTCCTTGGCAGCGCAGAGGACCTACGCTCAATTTGGCTTCTGAGCCTTGACGGTCAGTATCTCCAACCACCACTTGGCTCACTGGCAGGTGATCTTTGTATGATAAGAAACCAGCATCCTTCCTCCTGGATCACAGGGAAAGACAGAAAAAGAATGAGGAGGCTGCATTAGACATATGAATTTTCTGCTAGTTGCTTACGTTGTCTAATGATGACATTTCAGTAATCGTTTGGAAGTTTACTAAGTAAAGCCACAGTTAAAGAGTTGTTCTCTCTCTTCCATAGGTGGTCTCATAGCACATTGCTCAGAAGCCCTTCTGGCATCTTCATCTTCTGGAAAACAGAAGCGACACCCTGATTTCCAGAGATTCACAACCATTATGCTGCGTACTCTTTTAGGTAGAGAGTACACCACAGCATGTCAAACCCTGAGCACACATGCAGAGTTTGCTGTTGTCATGGAATCAGAAGTTCAACAAAGTCAACCTGGTCGCTTGAATAATATGTGAAACAAAACCCTATTTGAAGCAGTTCCTTCAGAAGTTTTCTTCCCTATTGTACATGAGTTAAATAAGGGACACCTTTTGTTCCTTCCTCTCTTCTTGTTTAGTTTAACAACTGGAACAGTTTATGTGAAGTTTCCAGCACAGAACAGGTATTCAATAAGTGTCTATTTCCATCTACAATGAAGAGTGGAGCCGAGATTTGAGCCCAGTTGGCTTTCCTCCTGAGTTTGTTCTTCTGTTGACTCTATATTTATCTTGTTTCAGGTCTCCCAAGTCTACCCTGTATCCATCCTAAAGGAGGAAAGACAAGGCTAGTTGCAAAGTACTGACTCTAGAATGGAGCATAGAAACCCAGGAGGGGTTCCTGGAGATGGGCTTAAGATGAGTTATGTGCAGTGAGTTTTGGAGCCCGTGCAGCACAGATTTCACCTTCATGGAAAATCAGTGGCCTTTTGTCCTCTTTTTCTGCTGCTGTGGCTGAGGGATCCCTCATTTGGGAGTGAATGGGTGGGAGGCACAAAGCAGTGTGATGTCATTCCTCAAATTTACCCTTTCAGATGATTTTTTACTATTCAGTCTGAATAGAAATAACAATTTTGAAATTGCACATAGAACTCATCAGAAAAATCCCACCCTGATTTTTGGATGACAGGAGAATGAGACAGACAGTTCAATGATGTAAAGATTTATCATTCATGTCTCTTAGCAAATAGTGCAGGGAATGGAGAGGAACCAACTTGGAGGCCTGTCTTGAAAATGCTATGCAGTGTGGAGCAGTTACTTGTACCTCTGACCTTCTTGAATGTCAGTGAATATTTGTTTCCTCATGTGTCAGGACCCATAGAAACCCAGGAAGGAGTCACAGAACTTGGCCAGTTGGCCTCAAATAAATGCATTATATACTGCCTTAGTTATTTCATTGTTTTCAAAATGAAGGGTTTTTAAAAAATAATTATTTATCAAATCAGAATTAAGATAATGCAGAAAAGTACTGTGATTCTTATTGACACTGTAGCTACTAATGACTAGGCCTCAAATATCTGTGGAATTTTTTACAAACCCACCCTCTTTTATTAGAAGTCTTATGAATTACAATCATGCCAAAGAGGAAACAAAGCCTTTGATATTAAACTTAATATTTAGTGCTTCTTAAAGGAACAATAAATAAAAGCACTCTCTAACAGCATATGGTAATTTGATAACCTACTAGAAATGATGGAACTGAAGGTTGAGATTCAAGTTATTACTTAAAATTACATGACTCTAAATCAGAGCTCTGCAAACTAAGTCCTGAGACCCAAATTCTGCCCATCACTTCTTTTTGTATGGCTCAAAAGCTAGCTAAGAATAATTTTCACAATTTAAATGGTTTTAAAAAAGATGAAAAAATATTTTGTGATGCTATAAAATTCAGTGTTCATAAAAAAGTTTTATTGAAATACAGCCATTTAAAAAAATGTATTGTCTATGTATGATGCAACTACAGAGGTAAGAAGCTATGGCAGAGACATAAGACCCCCCCAAAGTCTAAAATGTATATTATGTGGTCCTTTATAGAGTTTGCCAATTCTAACTCATAATGGGGCATAATTGTCCATTTTTGCTTTAGAAATTTATTGAGCAAATATCCCACTGACTATCATGGTAGGCAACTGTTGTGTAACTCAATCAAGTTTCCAAAGTTGAGCAAGGGGTTTGGGAAGGGACCAAAGAGGGGGCAAAAATATGTACTGAGAATAAATGCAAAGAAACATGCAAGAGGACAGAAACCATCTACACTTCAATTTATTTATTGTAACAGTGAGAAATAAATTTAATTAATAATAAATTTTTAAATTTACTGTGCATTACATAGCAGGCAGTCATATGTCAGCTTTGGTACAAGTGAGATCTATCCTGTAGGAAGAGAAGGTGCTCTGCTACTTGTGGCTACTCTCATTGTTTAACCCTTCCAGCATCTATAAGATAGTATGGGTAATTTTATAAAAACAAGGTCTTTAAATGGTGGAATCTCTATGACATTCTGTAATGAAATGAATAATGATCATGAAAATCTGAAAGGTACAGTTCAATGAATTTTACACACACACACACACCCCTGTACAACCATGACCCACATAATGATTTAGAACAGCTCCAGCACCCTAGAAGCACCCCCCATGCCCTTCCCAATCAGTACACTCCATCAGAAGTAACCATAAATTTGTCTACTGTCATCATAGATGAGCTTTGCCTGTTCTTGACCTTTATGTGCATGGAATCACTATGCATTCCTTTGTGCCTAGCTCCTTCTACCCAACTTTAAATATTTATTTAGATGATACAAAAAATAGTATATATAATACAAAAAATATTATACATAATACAAAAAAATTGTATTATACGTAATACAAAAAATTGTATTATACATAATACAAAAAATTGTATTATACGTAATACAAAAAATTGTATTATATGTAATACAAAAAATTGTATAATACATGTTGCATGTATTTGTATTATATAATACAAAAGATTGTATTATATAAATAAAATATAATACAACAATAAGAATGAATATTCTATTGTCATTTGGATGTTTCCAGTGTTTGGCTATTATGAATAAAGCTGCTATGAATGTTCTTATAGATGTGTTACTTATTAGCCTTCATTTATGTCAAGCATTTACCTAAAAGTAGAAATGCTGGGTCATAAAGTACACATGTTTAATTTTAGTGGATAATTTCAAGCAGTTTTCCCAAAAGCATGTACCAATTTACATTTCTACCAGGGATGTATGAAAATTCAGGTTGCTCAAGATCATTGTCAGCACTTGGTAATGTTGGTTTATTTTATTATTATTATTATTTTCTTTTTGAGATGGAGTTTTGCTCTTGTTGCCCAGGCTGGAGTGCAATGGCACGATCTCGACTCACTGCAACCTCCACCTCCTGGGTTCAAGCAATTCTCCTGCCTCAGCTTCCCTAGTAGCTGGGATTACAGGTGCCCACCACCACACCTGACTAATTTTTGTATTTTTAGTAGAGACAGGGTTTTACCATGTTGGCCAGGCTGGTGCTGGCCTCAGATGATCTGCCCTCCTGACCTCAGGGGATCTGCCCACCTCAGCCTCCCAAAGTGCTGGGATTACAGGTGTGAGCCACTACACCCAGCCAGTAATGTTGGTTTATATATGATGAGTGACAGTGTACTACCTTCTTATGAAACTAGTGCTAGGAGAAAGCATTTTTAAAACAAGTGTTTGGAAATATTCCAATTATTATGTAATTGTATTGCCCAAATTGATATGTGTATAACCTTATAGGAATTCACATATCTACACACTCTCATAATTTGGAAATATAATTTTTAAGTGTTTGTAATAATTTTATAAATGTAGACTTTTAGTAGGTTTTGAACTTAAAAAAATTTTTAATACTAAAAGCAGGCATTACTTAATTATTTTGCAAGAAAAACTGATTAACATCAGGGATGATAGAAATTTATAAGCCACGTTTTATGAAAATGTTTGCATTATTGGTCAATGATACTGAAAATTTAATATCATGATTCATTAAGTGAGAATAATAATCATTAAGTGAGATAATGTACATTATTCTCATTTTACTGATGAGAAGAATGAGAATCAGAGAATTTAGCTAGACAAAGTTTACCAGTGGCAGTCTGGATTCAGATTCACACTATCTGGATCCCCTCCTTGGACTTTTCGTCTTAAAAAGGGGAAAAACCAAAACAGAATATAAGCCAAAACACCACTATGTAAATTAAAAGAATTTTCCTTTTAACTCTCATTTATAGATGAGGTGAAAATTACCTTTTAAAGATGTCTTTAGCTAGGCTGAAATATTGAGGTTACTTGTAAGTCATAAATTCAAAGATATCTGCAATGTTTTATTCACATTTACCCCTAATCTATCAATATACCATACTAAGCAAAAAAGAATTCTAGAACTACCTCATGCCCAAATCAACCAATGTTTGTAATGCTATATTGAAGTTTATAAAAGGTTGCCGTATAGCTAGTAGTAATAACACTCAGATATTCCTTACCCAATCAACAAAAGAGGGAAAGAATTGTCAGCTGAGAAAATAATAAAAGGAGAAAATAGTATAAAGATGCCTCCTTGGTCACTTTTGACCAAAGATCTAAACAGGGATCCAGAGAATGGAAAGCCACAAGCAATGGCATGTGAAACTCTCAAAGAAGCGGACTCTACATTAGTTGTGGAAACTAATTCATGAAAGGCAGTAAAGTGGTTTAACCAGCACAAAGTTTTTGTGATCCTACAGCACAACCTACTTTTTTTTTTTTTTTTTTTTTAATTTTAGAGACAGGGTCTTGCTCTGTTGCCCAGGCCAGAGTGCAGTGGTGCAATCATAGCTCACTGTAGGCTCAACCTGGATTCAAGTGATCCTCCTGCCTCAGCCTCCTGAGTAGTTGGGAGTACAGGTGCATGCCACCACGCCCACTGTTTTAAATGTTTTTTTTGTAGAGACAGGTCTTGCTTTTGCTTTTGTGCCCAGAGTGGTCCCAAACTCCTGGCTTCACGGTGTGAACCACTGTGCCTAGCCTCCACAACCAATTTGGTTTCTGGAGAGGGGTCCTCTGAAATACCTTTATGTTGTCCATCTGAGCATCTTGTGTGAATCTTTTTGCAAGCAAAACGAGCCTTTGTTGAAAGTTACGATCCTTACAGATTGAGGTCAATCTAATTTAGGGAGATATTCAGTAACTATTTATCATGTTAGCATAATAAGCTAATTATATCTGTTAGTGGGCTTGTACATTGGAAAAATTCTATCATCCATTTCCAATAGGCCCTGAACTAAGACTCTTACATGCTATTTCCATCAGCATTGTTACTCAAGTAAAGCTTGATTCTATGGATTTTGTTTCTCTAACCTGGTGTTACTGTTATTTCCCTTCAGTATTGTTTTTCTGAAGAATTCTGTCTTGCTTTGCTGTCTTTCCTTGACTTTTTTATTGTGCTGAGAAAGCAAAGAAGCCTCCAGGCAGTTTAATCTTATCCTTAGCTTAATGAAAAAGTAGAAAAATGAAGCCCTAAAGAAAAATAAACATCCCCAGTTTTTACAATAAGCCTGCTCTTCTACCAAATATTATGAAAATGATTACACTGAGTTTTCCTATACAGTAATTCTAGCAGAGTAGATGGACTTCTCTTTTGTGAAGTTTCAGGATTATTTAGTAACCCTTAAAAAATGTTTACTCTGCATACTTTCATGCATTTCCATCACAGCATCACCCAAACTAGAAATTTCTGGACAGAATTCAGGAAGTCAAAGTTATAGCTACAGAAGATATCTCATAGATATAAGTACAAATACAACATAAACACATGAGAAGAAGCCTAATACTATCATTCCTTAGGCAAATGTAACTAAAACTACATTGAGATGCTACTTCACACTACCAAGATAGCTATAATCAAAAGGAGAGGCAATAACATGTGTTGACAAGGATTTGGAGAAACTGGAATCATCACACATTGCTCGGGGGGTGGGCTGTAAAGTCATGATTCTCCTGTCTCAGCTCCCAAGTAGCTTGGATTACACTAAAGTGACACTGTGCCCAGTCATTTTTGAAAACAGTTTGGCAGTTTCTTAAAAAGTTAAACATAGACACACCATATGACTCAAGAATTCTACTTCTGGATATCTATACAAGAGACATGAAAGCATATGTTCACACAAAGCCTTTTAGGTAGATGTTTATAGCAGATTTAGTCATAAGAGGCCCAAAGTGGAAATCACGCAAGTGCCCATCAACTAGTGAATGGATAAAAGTATGGTAATACATACAATGAAATATTATTAGACAATAAAGAGGAATGAAATCTGAATACATGTTGCAACATGAACAAACCTCAAAAACCTTATGCTAAGTGAAAGAAGCCAGACACACAAAAAAATCACATATTCTAATTTTACTGATATGAAAAAGGAAATCTACCAGGACAGAAAGGAGATTAGTGGTTGTCGGGCTGGGAGTAGAAACAGAAATTCATGGTAACCGGGAATCGTATAGGGATAATGTTGATGTCCTAAGTTGGGATTGTGTTGATTTGTTGCACAACTCAATGAATTTTCTAAAAATTTACTAAAAAAACCTGTACACTTGTACAGTTAATGTACAGTTAAAATCGATGAATATTATGGTATTTAAATTATACTTCAATGAGGTTATTAAAAAAAAGAACTGTAGATAGTCTCAAATGCCAATTGGCAATAAGGTCTGACAAGTGTTTTGCACACATCTCACTAGAAGTAGCAGGGTAATGAACTACAAAGTGGTGTATTTCCTGGCTTTGGTGTCTTCTACTTTGTGACTATGAACCAGGGACTACAAAATCTTTACTGACTCTGTTTTTAAGGGCTTTTCCTACCTTTAAAGTTTATATCACTATATTTATGTATTCCATTGACCTTTCTTCCTGGATAGAAAACACACCTTTCTTAGATACCCATGATTTGTCTGTTTTCCTCACCTTTGACCTCTATATAGACATTCATTAACAAGAGTCAAGATATTTAAATGGCACAGAATGTCCCACCAATTTCCTCCATGTTTCCTTCTCTCCTTCATTCCTTATTTAGAATTTGTCTTTTGTATCCCAACCTGAAACATCTGTCACTTTTCCAAACTAGATTTAGGGACTGTGTCTCAATCACAGACAATCAAACATTCTTGGTTTTTCCAGGACAAGCTTAACAATAAAATTCTGTTTGACTGTCAACATTCATCATTGTAATATTCTGAAAATGCCAACATTTTTAGCATTAAATCTGCATCTCAAGGATGGCTTCTAAACTTTTTGGAGTCTTTTGTTTGATTTCTTGTTCAGACAATTAAGTTCACTTTACCTCTAAATCTTTGTATCTCTTTTCTCCATCTTTTTTTGTTTTTAAATGGGGTTTCACCATGTTGGCCAGGTTGATCTTGAACTCCTGACTTAAGTGATCTGCGCACCTTGACCTCCCAAAGTGCTGGGATTATAGGCATGAGCCACTGAGCCCAGCCTCTCTTTTCTCCACCTTTTCTGCCTCCTAACAATCATCCTCAAATACACTGTACTTTTTCCATAGCAAGTGTTTAGAAAAAGTAGGTCAAAAGGTAAAAACCTATAAGAATTTTCCTGGAAAGTTATTTTACTAATGGCTTACACTAAAGATTTTTGATTAATGTCTAGTTATTTCTATTAAATAATCTTTGGGTTGTTCTTATTCTTTCTATCTCTTAAATAAAAATTCACATCCAGGCATGGTGTCTCATGCTTGTAATCCCAGCACTTTGGGAGGCTGAGGTGGGAATTCAAGACTATCTTGGGCAAAATGGTGAGACCCTGTCTCTATAAAAAATTTTAAAATTAGCCAGGCATGGTGGTGTACATCAATACTCCCAGCTACTTGGGAGGCTGAGGTGGGAGGATTGCTTGAGCCCAGGAGGTTGAGGCTGCAGCAAGCCAAGGTTACACCACCGCACTCCAGCCTGGGTGACAGAACCCTGTCTCAAAAATAAAATAAAATAAATAAAATAAAATAAAATAAAATAAATTCATAACTAAAAAATGTTTTAAAAGTTTAAAACAACTTAAAAAAATAGACAGACTTTACCCAGAAATAAGATGCTACTTCATGGTTAATACCAAAAACTATCTAATTGTTAAAAGTGTGTATCTAATGCACATAAAACAGGAGAGGAAACCTATAACTCAAGCCAAAGTTAGTTTTTGTTAAATATTTTTAAAAGTATGGCGAATTTTTAGTTTATTGTATTTATTTTGTTCTCAGCTCCATCTTTCTGTATCCTCTCTGCTACATGCCCTCTGTCCAAGTCTCTACTAAAACCTGCTCTCAGAGAAAAAGGTGACAAACCTTAAACCTCCCACTTAACAAACCAGTTAAGTAGAAGCAATGCCTTAATGAGACTGTCATACAGGGTTTATGGGAGGCCATTGTTTTGGAGTAGGCCCTGCAGTAGGTCCCAACAACTCAGACCAAACCAACATGCAATCACTTGTGCTAGGTGCCACATAACTAACGTGAACTTTGAAAGCCACCAGTTTTCCAAATAACAGGAGAGTCATAGTCATCAATCAGAAGGGGCCCAGTTTGGCTGGGCGTGGGGGCTCATCCCTTAATCCCAGCACTTTGGGAGATCAAGATGGGAGGATCACTTGAGCTCAGGAGTTCAAGACCAGCCTGGGCAATATGGCGAAACCCTGTCTCTACCAAAAATACTAAAAATTAGCTGGGCATGGTGGCACATGCCTGTCGTCCCAGCTACTCAAGAGGCTGAGGTGGGAGGATTGCTTGAGCCTAGGAAGTCGAGGCTTCAGTGAGCTGAGATCATACCACCATATAGAGCAAGACATTTTGTCAAAACCAAAAAGAGAGAAGGAGACCAGTTTGCCTGAGCTGGCATGATAAGAGATCCCCCTGTTTTAACCCTACAAGGAAAGTAACTTTGAAATGACCAATCCACTTTTTATTCCTTGTTTCTGCTTTCTTCAGACCTTTTCTGCCTATAAAGCCAATCTCCTCTACTCAGGGCACTGGGACAGCTATTCCAGTTTATAGAGTGGGGTGTTGCCCAATTTGAGAATTGCTAATAAAAGCCAATTAGATCTTTAATTTTTTGTGCAATTTTGTCTTTTGACAAAATTCTAGAAATCAAATCTCTGTGAATGGTGGAGGGTGAATGGGAGAGAGAGAGGAACGTTCCTGGCATCACTGAAATGATTATGAGGAGGTGATTTCATGTTCTTAAAAGGGAAACCCATGGGCTGAGTTTGCCAGTTCCTTTACGTTCATTTTCAAAAATCGCTTCTATGTCAGAAGTTAAAGCCTTTGTTCATAAAACAAACAGGGGCTGGATCATCAGAAAGGCAAATAAGCGGCAGGTCCCTCTGTTCACACCCCTCCTCACTCTTGCCTTGATGGGCCTTGGGTGGGTGCCATTAAATGTTTCTCATAGTGTCCTTGCCCACCATTGACTGTTGAGCTTTCCTGCATGGAAGGAAGGAAGCTAGTGTTGCTAGGAAGCAATGAGAGTGATTAAGAAAACAACCATGACAATGAGATCTTTAGAATCCATGCCTATGTCCCCAGTGAAATGAAAGTAATTACAGATTCAATTACTGCTTTTCAGTGAGAATAGTCTAGGCCTTTTACAAAATGTGAGACAATTATCTGTTCAATTTAGACTTCTCTTAGAAAGCCCTTGTAACCATTTCGGGATTCTTTGCAAAACGTTTTTCTTTGATTTGCCTTTCTGGAAAGCAAGTTCCCTGAGGGCAGATATATTGTTTCATGGAACTTTGTACAATCAACACAAAAGTGTTTATTTAAAGTGGATTCAAATAAAAGTGGCCGGCTCCACGTGTTTCATGATTGAATAAATACATGAATAAACATAGACGTTAACTAGGCGCAGCTCTAAAATAGCTACCCGTATGTACTTAACTATCAATGGAGAGAGATGAAAAAAACCCAACAACAAGCCTTTCTTGTATTGAAGCTCCTTGAATGCTCTTGAAATATTTTTAGTATCTTTTTTTTTCTGTAATTGGGGCTTATTATTTCTTTAGAAATTAATATTTAATTAGAAGATCCATATCTCATTAACGTGGTGAAAGGGGTACAAGACTTAGATTTGCAAAGGCAAACCCTACCTTGGCTCTGTCTCTATGTAAAAGTAAGTTGGTTAGTTTATCTGGGCCAATATTTCTTCACGTAGATATGCAGTGTGAGCCCTTTGAGGACAAGACTTTGTAGTCCTACACAGTCTCCCCACATGCAATTAGAACAGTAAATTTCTGGGAGATAATCTAATTATTACCCTCATTTTTCAGAGGTAATAGACTAGGAATAAAACAGTGTCTAGACTAAGGTACTCAACCAGTTAATGTAGGTTGTATGACAAGACTTTGTAGTTCTACGCAATTTC
Source organism: Homo sapiens (assembly GCF_000001405.40). Classification (NCBI taxonomy): domain Eukaryota; kingdom Metazoa; phylum Chordata; class Mammalia; order Primates; family Hominidae; genus Homo; species Homo sapiens. The sequence continues at coordinate 147,967,514 of NC_000007.14, read as the reverse complement.
CCCACATGCAATTAGAACAGTAATATTTTGGGAGATAATCTAATTACTACCCTCATTTTTCAGAGGTAATAGACTAGGAATAAAACAATGCCTAGACTAAGGTATTCAACCAGTTAATAGCTGAGCTAGAAAAAAACAGATCAAATCTCCGATACTCTAGAGTTTAAGAAGGAAAGATGCATGTTTACATTTTTTAAATTCTAAAATAATTTCAATGTATTTCCTTTAAATGATATAAAAATCCATTCTTTTTATCATATAGGAAAATTGCCTTACTGGCTAGAAGACTAATTTGGACTACATACATTTTACTTTGTGCATCTACATTCATATTTTCCCTAAACAGGAGTTCCTTACATTTTGTACATCATGACTCATTTGCATGATTAGTAGAGGGAATGCTTGATGTGTAGCCTCTTTGCCATTTCCATGTGTTTTCATATCTAGCAATTAATGGCCAACTCCTGGCATCTCAAAAGTAGTCAAGGGGAAAATCTTCCCTTATAATGGCCCAGTATTCTTTTAAAATTAGAGTGAATAGTCTAGGACTTCTCGGTGTTTCTGAAGCGTTATTTATAACCAATAAATAAGTGCAGAAACTGGAATGCCATGTGCACCCAGCCACTGACAACTCCCCTCTGTTTCTGCACAGTTCACACTCCTCCTCACTCTTGCCTTGATGGCCCCTGGGTGGGTGCCTTTAAAGGTTGCTCATGGCTGGCTTCATTCCACACATCCATGTTTCTTTCCCTTGAAACTAAACAGCGATAGTCCACTCCCATGATGGTGATGATGGTTGTGGGCAGACGGAATATGCTGACATCTCAACTCTGCAAATAAATCTTTCCTGCTGGACTCTGAGACACCCCCAGGAATTGTTGGGCTTCTCTTATGTCACCCAAGGAGGGTAACTGGGTGACACGGACAGAGAGGGCACTCAGCTTTGGAATGTGAGGGTACATGCCACCTTAGTCTAGTTCACAGCCTGGGGAAACCTAATTCATGACTTCTGTTTGGATATATAAAAATTTCTAAACCTGGACAATTTTTATAAATCAAATCTTTATCTAATTTACTTTCTGTACATTCCTTCATTGTTTCCATAGACTTCAACACTCATGAAAAACAATAATCGGACTCTCCACTCCCTAAATTTTTGCTTAAATAGCATGGTTTTCTCAAAAGAGCATTAGTTCTGATGCATTTGGCCTCAGAAGGAAGTACAATATGCTTTGAATTTTTATTTTGGGGATTTGGCCATCTTAAAAGGTACTATTTTTCAATGATAAAAGCATTATTTTTTAAACCAAGAAGCATTGCTTTTTTTCTTCTTGATGCCATTTCTAAAGCCCCCTCCAAGTAACACAGATCCATATAAGTGATTCCTGTATCGATTACTGCCACAAACTTTTCTCTACAAACATCACATCATCTTTGAGATACTTTGTTATTCCCACTTCAACTCAGCAGGTCATTTTGCTCCCCTAGTGGATACAAAAGACTGATTTGAAGGTGGAAGTGGTTTCTTTTACCCATCTCTGAAGTCTGTAAGGCCCTTAGGATGATCGATATTTGTTTTTATGTTATCAATATCTCGAAGATGCTGTGGGACGTAGACGTTTGAAAAAGGCACACCACCTCAGCTACAACAATGAAAAGTACTTACTCTTCAGGGTGAGGTGGCCCAAATAAAAACAGAACTTCAAAATATCTCTCAGTGACTGGGACTAAATGCAAGTCAGAATGCAGCCATGGAAAGAGCCTTGAGAGCACTGTCAGTGTCAGCATGAAAGAAGAAGAATGAACCAAAGAAGTTGAAAATACAGGATCTAAAATTCTGAAGGAACCAAAAGAATTATATGTACTATAAGCCAAGGGAACAGAGAGCTTCTGGAGGGTGGGGTGGGAGTGAGGTGGTATATTATGTTAAATATTGCAAAAATGTCCGTTATCAAAAAATTAAAGCATGTACATCAGCTATATCAATATGGAGATCATCGGTGGACGGGACACAAAGGGATCTAGTAATGTCATGAAGAAAAAGTTCAATAGCTGATAATTAAATGGGAGATGAGAGAGAAGAGACAAACCTTAAACTCTTAAAGTTGGAATGAGAAATGGAAGAAGCAATAGGGCAGAAACTAGAGGAGTTTTAGCATTAAGCAATTTTGTATATAGACTAGGAACTGAATCAATTAATTATGTTTTATCCCATATGTCTGTAATCAATTTGCCAACATTGCTTTCCAAGGTTGGCAGTAAAAAGTCATGAATATTACTGCCTTATGTGTATAGGCAGCATAGAACTTTGTCCAGAAGATGAAAAGTGGCACATGATCAGAGACATTCTGACTGACCATTGCTGGGGAATGAAAGTTACACTCCAGGGTCCTCTCATTTCAGTTGCAGTGAACAAGGAGCACCTGGGCTTCTTTCTCCAACTCATAATTGGGCACATGGCTTTTCTGAAATAGGATGGCCAACATATTAAAGGATTCTTGGGCTTGTACCTTTGGAAAAAATGTCTGAAAGAGGAATTAACTAGATAATTTCACAGTGAGGTTCAGAGCTTTGTGGTTAACTCCAGCCAGCTGGATATTTGATCTATATTGGTTTGGAGAAAATCAGAAATTCAGCAACCCACTCAGGGACATTCTAAAACTTCAGTTAATTAGATTTTAATAAACAAGGTCATCTCTATTGGCAAACTTACTCTGTAATTTAGAGGGTGAACCATTTATGATTCAGTCCAACTTACACAGATTAAAAGACATATAAATCCTCCTCTCAGAAGTGGGGCAATAAAAATCCATCACTGTTAATCAAGAGAGAGAAAATGCCTCAAAAGGAGTAAGGAGCCTACACCTATTGGGCTATGTAAATTTTGACCAGTGAAAAACTCAATTTAGCAATTTAGCAATTTCACTTTTTTATTTTTTTCAGAATAAATAAAGCATCTGAATATTTGTTAATGTGAATTTATTTTTCTCCTGTGAGGATCCAGAAGGGGAAATTGCCACGTGCTTTTGCAGGGCAGTCTCCAGGTTGCAAATAATCTGAAAATAGGAAAGGAAAATGATGGAAACAAATCCGTGGAGGATTGAGTCATTTTATTTCCTTGAGGTGAACAAAATCTTGATGACCAATTCTAAATTTAATTCTTCGAGACTGTTGGATTAGTCTGCTCAGGCTGCCGTATTGAGACACCATGGATCGGGTGGCTTAGACGACATTTATATTCTGGTAGTTTTGAAAGCTTGAAGTCCAAGATCAACATGTTGGTAGAGTTGGTTTCTGGTGATGCCTCTCTCCTTGGCTTGTGGAGGGCCACCTTCCCACCGTGTCCTCATATGGCCTTTCCATGAACTAAAGTGGAGAAAGGAACCTCTCCTGTGTTTCTTCCTCTACTTATAAGGGCACCACCCCCATCGCATTAAGGCCCCATTCTTGTGGCCTCATTTTACCTAAATAATTTCCTTAATGACCCTGTCTCCAAATACAATCATGTTGGGAGTTAGGGCTTAATAGATGAGTTTTTCAGAGGACACAGTTCAGTCCATAATGGTTATATATAATGTTTTATATTGGGTTTTAGAAAATATTAATTCTGAAAAATGGTAATAAATTTCTGAGGGGGGAAAAAAGACATTTGGTCTTCCAAGCAAGGGATCTGGGTGATAATTTCATGGGTATACTAATATGTAACAATGCCTAAGCTGTCCATTTAAGATGTGTGCACTTCCCTCTATGAAAGTTATAGCTCGAGAAGGAAACAGCATCGTTGGCTTATCATTGCTTTCTAGGACACAGTAGAAATTTCCAGTCCTGGGATCTTCACAAAAGAGTCCAAGTTACTGTTTCAGCATTTCGCGTGTCTGGGTGTTTTAGGAATACAGAATATAATGTGGTATCAAACTTGCCTCCTAGCCACATAAACCATTTACTGTTCCTCAACGTGACTGTTTACTGTCACACATTCCTCTGTTTGTACATGTTGCGCCCTTTTCTAGGATGTCTTTCTTCTTTTCTCTGCCTAATGCAATCCCACTCATCCCTCAAGCCTTGTAAAGTTGTTATATCTTCTATGAAACTCTCCCTGACCCCTCCAAGATCAATTAATTGCTTCTTCCTCTAGGAAGAACTGTATTATCCATAGATAACAGAACTGTATTTCCCATAGAAATTGACTCACATGGATAATACAGTTATGGTTGACATAGATTGTTAATTTTCTGGGGCCTTGGTTTCAGATATTTATCTCTTTGTCTCTATAGCACATTCTTACTATGTATCCTACTTTTTGGATTGAGTCATTTGACCAACAAAAAAAAATCTAACTCTAGTGATGTAATACTCTTTATAATTATGTCCTCTTTACTGCAATGTGACCTTCTTGAGTAAAGATTATGTCATTTTGTAGCCATAGAACTTGACCTCGATATTGCAGTGGTATAATAATAACTGTATTATAAGCAAATTTCACCTTTCTAGAAGCAGACACTTCGCACTGTGAATTAACCATGGTATATCTTATTGTCACATTTTTGTTGACATAAATAAGTGATTGGAAGGCAAGATTTTGATAACATAATTTATGACATCCATATTTTCCCTGGCAGGATAGTATTCTGTTTAAGAAAAGGGACTCTGATGTTAAACTGTTTACCTTCTATGTCCTCTTTGTATGTTGGGCAAGTTCCCTAACTTATTGTTAATTTCCTCATCTATTACAAAGCTTTTTGGATGAAATTTAAACAAATTAATGGACTATACATTACTTAGCACAGTGCCTACCACGTAGCATTTGATCAATATTAAATTAAACCATGTGAAATTGTCAATATTCACTTAGGTGTTTACACACAAAAATATCAGTTTCATGTGTTTCAAGCTAATGTTAACTATATTAAAATTATCATTATCACTTCCCTTTACTGTCCAACAAACAGCTCATAATCATTTCCTTTAATACTTAATATGATGGGAACACAAATTCAACACATGTATAAAGAAGGCTAATTCTGCTTTGGGCTCATACTTTTTCCCAGGTAATGAAGGATGATTTCCATCTATAACAGGAAATAGTTCAAGACAGGGAGGGGCAGCTGATCAAGTCTCTCACCCTTCCTCTGAGCTTGGCTGCCTCTTGCATAGCTTCCTGAGCTTCAAAATTAATTCCCAAAGCACATAGACTAACATTCTAATTCAGTATACACATTCTAACTATATCCGAGTATGAATTTCCTTAAACTTGTATCTGCAAACTGACTTGAAAAAGTACTCATAAACTTGTTATCATTTTCATATAGAATTTGCTTCCTTATTAATTCAACAAAAATTTATTGAGTGTCCACTACATTCCAGGCACTGCCTGGTCTGGTGGGGAATGCAAAGATTAATCAGTCCTAACTCTAATCTTCAAGGAGCACATAATTTACTAGGCTTAGGCTTTAGTTTATTTATAACTGAATAATTAAATTAATACTCTATTCCCCATCATAGCACATCAGGGATCTATCTGTTTTGTTTCTGTTTCTTTTTACTACTTTTCTGTTGCCTTTCCTATTCTCTTTCTTTCCTAGTATTGCAATCCTACAGTTCTTTAAGAATAAAGTTGTTACCCCCTTTGAATAATTTTAATCTCCTAATTTAATTCCTTTAATAAAGTTCATATTCATTTAGTTATAGGCATTCCTAAGGGAATCATGCATTTTTATTATAATTAGATAATGAATATTCGATGACCAAGATTCTGAAATAAAAATTGTAATGCCAGTGATGAAAATGCACAATATCTAGAATCTTTTATTACAGAATTACCAATGAGAATAATCTACTGGGAATAACTAATCTGTTCAAGCTGGCGAAAGCAGTGGATGTGGAAGTAAAGGTTTTAATATTGCCCAATAGAAATGTTCTCTCATTTATTTAATGTCTTCTATTGGAAAACTGTAGAAAACTGTAATAATGCCATTCCTAAATACCATGCCCTTTTGAGAAGGTGAACAGTGGTATTAGTTCACAAGCCCCATGCTTAAAATGTAACTCAGTGGTGTGAAATAGAGAACTTCCTTCTCCACGTATATCTTTTGATCATCTTGTGCATTGTTGCTCTGCATATTTGTTAAATAACCACACTAGCTCATTTCAAATGAGCATACAAGAGATTCCTACTTCTCCAGGAAATGTCAAATATTCCTGGTGTAGCAAATAAATAGATCAAAAGGAAGCACAACTATTTAGAAGAAGGCAGAAGATAGTAAGATACATGGATTTTTTCATTTGAGTATATCCTAGTTATAAAAAGAGATATAATGTTGAGGGGAGCAGGAGATAGAAGTTAGGACAGGGATATAAATTAATTACTAGATGAAAAAGGAGCCAGGTAGGAGATCTCTGACATGAATAGGTCAGATGTGAGGGGAGACAGAATTGTATGGAATCAAAAGATACTCGATTCAGAAGGCGTTTTACAAAAAGGGAATACACTGGACTTCTCTAATCTATATGCAATTACCTCTTTGTATATAATTTTTGTCTTGAGTTAACTTCACCAACTATGTTTTTTTGTTATATTCAATAATTTCCTGCATGCAGGCTTCTACTTATCACCATGATTTCTGGGAAAGAAGAAAAAGACTTATTTCTAGGGCATAAAGAAAGAAAGAGAGAGACAGAGAGAGAGAAGGAGGGAGAGAGGGAGGAAAGGAGGAGGAAAGGAGAAAGAAAGAGCCTAGGTAATTAGATACAGCATCTTTGACAGAGAGAGAGTCCCTGGGCACCACAGGGAGACAGCATAACTCACTACCGTCCACTCTCCTCTGGACCTTAGGATGTTGAGCTCATCCTGTGTTTAACTTACTTGGGATAGGAAATGATACTCCAGTTGATGCTGGAAAACACTGCCTATTACTGTCACTATTGTACAATTACAATGTACAGGACACTGCCTATTAGTATCATTATTGTGTAATGTTCTTTGTCCTTGTCTGCCTGGATTATTCTCATATTTGGCAGGCTGATTTCAGGCAATCCAAGATTTAAAATGTGTTATAATTGAATATACCTGAACTTTCAATAACACCACTGCTGGAGTCAGTACCACCTCATTGGTTAATCATCTCACCATTTATTGAGTTCCTTTGCATTTTGCTGCCTCAAATTTTGCCAGTGACGGCATAAAGCTTCCTCATAGAACTCTAACTTGTCCTGCTCACTCATCAGTTACAGATGCTGACTCCGGCTTTGCACCAGGTAATTCATCTACCTCTCCTAGCCCTCCATAAAAACCAGTTATTATTTTTCCCTCACCCATGCAGGAACACTATGTTATAGTGTCCTTGGGAATTCCAACTTAAGAGCCTAAACTATAACCACTCCATGACTCTGATGGTTCTGCTGGGCTTGCTGTGGGAATGGCAGCCTACTAGGTGGCTTGCCAAGGATGTATTGGCATGAAGTAGTCATCAGTTCTCTGAGCCTAAAGGAAGGAGAGAGTCGAGGTGCTGAGGCTTATTCCAAGGATAATGTTTTAGGCTTAAGGGAAAGGAGTAGTTTTGAATAGGATGAGAGGCCACTCAAATGGTTTCAAGTTATTGGTAAGGGGGCAACAAAAAACTGAATTAAGTGACTTTCTTCACTTGAAGTTGAGGTACCAACTGGGACTCGACTCCAGAGGTGGGGCTCAGATCCTGAACCAAGTTGAGGACTAGCTAAAACAGGACTGGGGCAGGAGTAGCTTTCCATAAGACACACCCACCAGCATGCCCTGTCAGTTTACCATCGCCATGGCAACACCTGGGGGTTACCACCCCTTCCCATGGCAATGACCTGATGACCCCAAAGTTACTACCCCTTTTCTAGAAATGTCTGCATAAGCTGCTCCTTAATCTACATGTAATTCAAGGTCGGTATAAACATGACTGCAGAACTGCCCCGAGTTGCTACTCTCAGCACACTGCCTGTGGGGTAGCCCTGCTCTGTGGGAGCAATCACAGAACTGTAACACGGCCACTTCCATAAGAGCTGTTTTCTTCTACCCTACCATTGGCTTGCCCTTAAATTCTTTCCTGGGAGAAGCCAAGAACCCTCATGGGCTAAGCCCCACTTTGGGGCTCGCTTGCCTTGCATCAAACTCATGGTGGGTACTTGAGCTGGATTCAGTGTCCTGAGCATTGGACAACCCACATCTGTCCTAAGAAGGTGCCAGAGACACCCAAGCAGGAGCTGGAATAAGGGAGAAGGTCATGGAAAGACGCTATGAGGCAACTGGAAAACCTGAATGTGCACTCACACTTGAGCCAACCACTGGGAACTCTGAAATAACGGAATAGAATCTGAGAGTAGCTGAAGTTCCTAAGATTGCTAATTCAGAGGGAACCAGGTAAATGCAATTTGTCTGATATGGCATGGAGAAATACAAGTCTCAACAGCCAAAGAAAGGAATGATAAGTTTTTAAAAACCTGATTTCTACTTGGGTTTTCAGAATCACAGTTTAATAAAAAGTGGAGCCTTTTTGTATAGAGTTATGTTCAGTGTGGTCCTTAGATGTGTTGCACTGACACACCTGGGACCTTGTTAGAAATGTGGAATTACAGATTCCACCCTACACTTACTGCAAAAAAATCTGTATTTAGCAATAGTGCCAGGTAATTCATATGCACAAGGCTTTAGGGAATGGGAGGCAAACTGATGAGTTGGGAGTTAATTTGGCCAGCAGACAAAAATAGCAATTTCAGTGTCTGTCTTATTAGAATATACGTCTGACTCCTATAAGTAATTGAGTTTTAGTTGTGGTAGTATAATTCAGCTCACGATATGTTAGAATTTGTATGATAATATTTTTACAAAATTATGCAATCTATACTTTAAATCTGTAATAGTTCAGTTATATTTTTGGCTCTAGGTTTGTGAATCAACCTGTAAAAGGAATTCCACTCCCATGAAGAAGAAAATATCTACCATAAAATCAATATAAACATCCATCTCTTAGGCAGTTATTCTCAAAGGGCAATTAATGCATCATGAGCATCTGAAGACCTTGATGAGCTTGATGTCCTAGAGATTTTTGGATAGAAGTGAGATTACCCAAATCTCAGATTTCAGATCAGAGTGATCCTGATAACCCTGGTTCCCTCGCAAACTTTAAATAAACATACAAATAAAACCAAAATAGCTTCTACAAATAAGCAATTTGTATTTTCAAAATTAAGCAATATTTTTTCTCTAGTATTCACGTAAGTATTCATTTTTTGGTGATCATTATAATCAATGAGTAATATTGGATAAAGGAAACAAACCATTTCAGGCAAAGAATTAACTTCTAGATAATTTAATTCAAATTACTCGTGATACAGATGAGAAAACTAAGCTCTAGAAAGTTAAAGCGTCTTTGCTTAAGATCACAGTATTTATTAATATGTCCTATTGGTTTATTTATTTGAGACAGTCTCACTCTATCACTTAGGCTAAAGTACAGTGGTGCAAACATCTGTCACTGCAGCCTCAACCTCCAAGGCTCAAGCAATCCTTCCATCTCAGCCTTCCAAGCAGCTGGGACCACAGGTGCATGACACCACACCTGGCTAATTTTTAATTTTCTTTTAGAGACAGAGTCTCCTCATGTTGTCCAGACTGGTCTCCAACTCCTGAGTTCAAGCAATCCTCCCACCTCGGCTTCCCAAAGTGCTGAGATTATAGGCATAAGACACTATGTCTAGCCCTATATTTCTTCTTTATATCTTTTTTTACGTATACAATTTGATTTCCATTTAATATATATGTATCTAACATAATGTTCATGGCATTTTAGACTTTAATTTTAGTATATCAACTGATGATTTTAGAATTGCAAAATGCTTAATTTCTTGGTTAACCGGAACTGAATACATAATCATTGCAATTCTGGACCACAGTGACCTACGAACCTCCCATTTCTTTGAGCATCTCGTTTCCCACTGTTTTTTCATCCGATTGCACTTCAGCCACCTACTCCCCTGGTGATACCCTTGACTTAGTCATTATCTTTTCAAACTTTTATTCTAGTTATGCTGACTTCTGACCACTGCCTTTAATTTTCCATTTCATTTACTCTGGTTCTCAAATACAGTATTTCTTCTCCTGGGACCTTCAATTCATTGACTATCACTTTTTCACTCTCTTGTCCTCACTCCTTTTCTTCATTAGTTTAGATTCCAAGGTTCACTGTAATTATCACATCTTTGAGAAACAAACAAACAAACAAACAACTTCAGCTCTCTCCATCGTATTTGTCAGCAAAACCCCAACAGAGTTTACATCTCATTCTCTGCTAACCCATGCTAACCCATTTAGTTCCTGTCAATCCTACTAACTTATTTCTGGTCACTTTCACTCCTTTTCTCTTAACAGACTTTTTCCCCTGTCTCTTCAAACCTCAAACACCTTTTCTCCTTCCTGCCTCAGTAAGTGACATTACTTGGAAAACCAACTCTGGGAATGCCAGATGTTATTTTACCGCATCTAAGCAGTAAAACTTGGAGAAAAACAAGCAAACAAAAGGTGCTGACCAGTTATGCGTTACATGGAGACCATGAATATCACCTGGGTCCTCAGACCTGCAGGACAACCCTATCACTTTCTTTAGTCAATTCCATCTTCCACACATTCTCTTACACCTCTAGCCAAGACTTTTTCCCTCCACACCTCAGGATCAGCAAATGATCTCACTCATTTCTAGAAAAGAAAAGAAAAAATGGGATCAATCTAAGTAGAATTAAATCTTCTTCCTGTCCCCAAACCTATCTATGTCTGGGTCTGTATATTCAGCTTTTCCTGATATGATGGATGAAAAGTCCAATCAAGATGAAAAATTAAGCAGTAAACTGAAATCTCACATGAGAATCCTGCGGTCCATGGTCATTTCAGGGTCTAGGTATGAGGAAAGGCATCTGCATGTGCTTCGATATGGGCATGTGTCTTCAGGCAAGGGTGTCAGCGGCAGAAGGCTGAACACAGTGAAGCTCTCTGAATGGGCTTCTCAGACTAATTGCAAGATTTCATTAGAGCCTCTGCTGCCAATTCTGTCCAGACTTAGGAGAAATCAGAGGACATGTACATCTTTCTTTTGGATATTTCCAGAATTTCTATTTTGCATCCTAGCTCATTTAAACATGGCTCAAATGAAAACAGTTCGATTGATGTGCTTATCTCACTGATAGCTTTTTTTTTTTTTTGCCCCCTGCCAAAGAAATAATCATCTTGAGATATTCTCCAAAGGTCATTTGGAAAACATTATTGAAAAATATACACATAAATATTCACTCATGTATTTTGTGTTTTAACAGGAACAGTAACCAAATTCTATGTTGTAAAATTCAAATTTCACAATGCCTGTTTATTGAGTATATTCAAATAGTTATTATTTTTGTGGTAGTTGAAAGAACTGGTATATATGAGCAAAGCAAGTAGCTAAGTAGGCTAAGTAAGCTATAAATTCTGGAATTTTCTTTTAAAGATTTGCAGTGTGCAACTGTGATCTTACTTTACTATGGAATTCTTGCTTGGGGGAAAATTTTTCACTATAAATAGCACCTCTGTTAAACTGTGGTTTGATTATAGTCAGTAATTCTTGGGTCAAGTCTGTACCCCCATCACAAGCCATTCTTTGGAGACTTAGTGTCCTGAGATAAAATACATGCATTCTTGTTTTGTTCTTTAACCTGCATCTCAAGATATGTGCACGGCGCTTTTGCTCTTTTGTCCATATCTCAGTTTGTGGTTCTCAGGGATACCTTGACCTACAACAGGAGACATTTCCGATCCACTTGGTCAGGGACTGTGCATCATATGATAGCTGAGGTGGGGAGCAGGCCAGTGAGTTGCCCTCTGATTCTGTACTATAGAATCAATTTCCTCCACTACATATCAGAACATTCTAGGGCTGAAATTCTCTAAATGTGGCCAGGAGACAACTGGGGGTTCTGAATACCTTTCAGGGGATCCATTAACTATTGGACCAAATAATTTTCATAATAATATTAAGACATCAATTTCCTTTTTCACTCTCATTCACTCATGGGTGTGTAATGGAACAACACTACTCTTCTCATTAATCTTTTTTTGTTTTGGAATAATGTAGTTTTTTTAAAAAATAAAAGCATGTTATGCTAATAAGTAGAGGGTTTTTAATGTTGTCTTAAATTAATATTTAAAGTATATCATTTGTCTTAAAATAAATATTTAAAGTTTGTCAGTTTTAATTTCTAATACATGAAATTCTGATATGTAAAACTCATAAAAATAAAAGCTTTTTGGATCTTCAATTTTGATGACTATCAACGAGTTGTAAGATTTAAAAAGTGTGATCATTATTGCTCCAGAGGAATTAATCTTAATCCATATACTTGGATGTGCAATAAATATCACATGGCTTTTATTTTCCCTACAGTGAACTTGGAAAGCCTTTTCTGCTGTTTCACTTGTGGTGGGAAATTCAGTGTCGGTGGCTCAACTTTGCTGCACTATCTGGATTCACCTGACAGGAAGAAAAAAGTGGGTGTAGCTGTTTTTTACAGAAACGTTGGAGACTGGATAAGGTGAAAGGGAAGAAAAATATCAGAGAGATCTCTTCATAGTGAAATCACTATAGAAATCTTTCAGCCTTTTTATACTATTGTACACTTTTATACTATAAATTCCCATGAATAAAAGCTTTTGTTAACTCACTCTAACTAGACTCTCGATATAGGGGACGGATATACTGAATTGTGTCTAACACACTTTGGATACTGAACACATATTGCTGAGCAAATAAATAAATGATTGTTTCTAAGAGAGTTAATTAAAATAAAATTGTCATCTAAAAATTATAAAAACATTAACTATAGCATTCAAATAGCAATTATTGGCTGAAAATAACTATGCTTTTCAGTGCTAGAAATAAACATAATTGCTTAATATATAGAAGAACAAGATGCATAACACTGAATCAATGTTCAGTAACTTACAAAAAATGATAAATCCTACTGCTTTATGTCATCATCTTTCAGTAAGGTCAATATATCATTATTGTCTCTTCTGCTTGCTGTCTTCTTTTCCTTCTGTATAATGGTGAAACTATAGTTTAAATGCAATGCTATATCTTCTACTCACATAAAAACATTAGCTTTTATTATCTTTAATGCTAGGTCACTTGTGAGCTGCTTCCTGCAATAACATAACATCTGAAATAACTCTAAAAAATCTGACTTGAACAAAGTCTTAAAAGATAATTTAGGATTTACAGAGGTCTCTGTGAGAGGCACCAAAAGAAAAAAAGTTATGTTGCATGATGCAAAGCAGAATGTATTAAAGTCATCTTCATTTATGCGTCTCTCCATAGTACACTGGACAAGCACTTTTCTCCCCTGAAGATAACTCATTTGTTTGCTTTCATGTCTTCCTGCTCATCTCCCTTCTATCCCATTTCTCTCTCCAACTCTTCTAGATCTACTTAGGTTCTTTTTCATGTAAATTGGTGTAGCTTCTGTGGTGGGTAGAACTGTGTCTTCCAAAAAGATATTTTCAAGTTCTAACCCCTGGTACTTCTCGATATGACCTTTGCAGATGTAATCAAGTCATACTTGATTAAGATGGGCCCTAATCCAATGGCTAGTGTCCTAATAGGAAGGGGGAAATTTGGACACAGAAAACACAGAGAGAATGCCACGTGACAAGAGAGGCTGAGGTTGGAGCGATGTGTCTACAAGCCAAGAACACCAAGGGTTTCCGGCAACCACCAGAAGCTACGAGAGAGATCATGGCCCTGCTGATACCTTGATTTCAGGCTTCTGGCCTCTAGAACCTTGAGAGAGTAAATTTTTGTTGCTTTAGGCTACTCTGTTTATGGTACTTTGTTGCTGCAGCCCTAGGATACTAACACAGCTTGTCTTAGAACTTCTCAATTCCCTCTCCACTTATTACTCTAATCAGCATAACCAATAGAATTGATATTTCCTTTTTTAAAATTTAAAGTTTCAGGATACATGTGCAGGACATGCAGGTTTGTGACATAGGTGAACGTGTGCCATGGTGGTCTGCTGCACCTTATCAACCCATCATCTAGGTATGGAATGAGAATCGTATTTCTTAGAAGGAAAGAAGAGCATCTGTGGCTACCTGGATGCTGATATTTTTGTCCCACTCATGTAATTTAGACTATTTGACTACATGAGCTTGTCTTTCTAAGGATTCAATCATTCACACTACTCAGCTTGGTTTAGGGGATATTGATAAGAATACACACTATTCTCAGGAAGCTTTCAGTTTAGGGGGAAGAGACAATGGAACACACAAATAAAACTTAGCACAACTGATGCTTCCTATGAAACTAAGAAAACGCAAAGTGAGCAAGACACGTAGCAACGGAATAATGCTTACTTCATCAAATTTGAGAGGCAAAGAGTACACTATACATGACCATTCATCTTGAAAACAATGTAACAATGTAAGATTGGGGAAAACTCATTACGCCAGAACTTAGAAGACAGCACAGGCTTGCTTTGCCACATACTACGTGACCTTGGGAATATTCCCTAAATCTCTACGTTTCTCAGGTGCAAAATTAGACTAGCTATTCCCTAAGGCAGTGTTTTCCAAACTGTAAATTGAGATACATTGGTAGATAGTAATTTCAATTTGGGGAACCAGGAGCAGCATTAAAAAAAATAAGTATATTTTTAAAATGCAAAGACTAGGAAATAAAGTGCATTCGATTCTGTACAAAGTGTAAATAAGTATTATTTCAGGAAGCTTTCATTTTAGTTATGTACCTGCATGTGACGTGTCTGTGTGTGTATGTGCATATTTATACTTCATCAACATGAGATGACTTTCTTACTGTGAGTCTAAGTTTTTAAAACTCTCAGTCCTGAGTTCCCTTTAAACACTAAACTGCTAATAATCTATGATAGTTAAGTACCAGGAGGAATACATTATGATAGGCGTACATTTAATTACTTAAAGAAATATGTTCAATTTAATGTGCCAAAATACTATGATTTTCTATAAATAATGAAAAGGAGAGATTTATTTTATTATTGTTATTATTATTTGAGACAGAGTTTCACTCTTCTCGCCCTGCCTGGAGTGCAATGGCGTGGCCTTGGCTCACTACAACCTCTGCCTCCTGGGTTCAAGCGATTCTCCTGCCTCAGCCTCCTGAGTAGCTGGGATTACAGGCATCCACCACCACACCCAGCTAATTTTGTATTTTTAGTAGAGATGGGGTTTCTCCGTGTTGTTCAGGCTGGTCTCAAACTCCCAACCTCAGGTGATCCACCCGCCTCAGCCTCCCAAAGTGCTGGGATTACAGGTGTGGGCCACCGTGCCTGGCCGAAAAGGAGAGATTTAAGTATGACTGCTTTTAATTAAGATATAAACATGCTCTATATTTTGAACCAAAGAATGATCTTAATTTTGGCATTAACATTCAGTTTGAGGTATTCATCTAACATTTACCTATTAACTGTATTAAGCTCAGTTTCTAAAATTGGGGCCATGCCACTATGAGTTCTCATAACAACATTTATTTTCATTTTCATTTTTTTTTATTTAATTAATTTTACTTTAAGTTCCGGGATACATGTGCAGAATGTGCAGGTTTGTTATATAGCTATACATGTGCCATGGTGGTTTGCTGCACCTATCAACCCATCATCTAGGTTTTAAGCCCCGCATGCATTAGGTATTTGTCCTAATGCTCTTCCTCTCTTTGCCCTCTACCCCCGGACAGGCCCCCCTTGTATGTTGTTCCCCTCCCTGTGTCCATGTGTTCTCATTTTTCAATAAAATTTATTTTTAAGATACATGCTGCTCTAAATTTTTGAATTGCTCTTCCCCCCACCCAAGGTCTAGCTCTGACTTTATGAACTGCTCTTTGATTTAACACTTTCTATTAGAATTCTTATTTTGAATTCAGCTGCTTATATTCCCAAACCACAACGTTCATTTCTGACTATTTTTATCCTGTTGACCCCAGAATTAATAACTGCTTCTGTCCAGCATCACCCTTTCTTAATTTAGTTTGGAACATATATTCTAAGAATCAGGATATGTGCTTGATTATACGGAGGTTTGGACAATTCTCTCTCCACTATAAAGCCTACTGATGGTCAGTCATGAATCTTCTCTTTCCTCTTTCCCTATTACAGAAGAAATACCTCAATTTGCTCTGTAGAATAGATTGTAAATTTTTCTTTCTGTACTTTTTCTTACTGTTGTTCTTACGTGTCCTCACATTCTCTTTAGGAACCTGTTTAAATGTCTTTCCTTCCCTCTCTATTTACTGGGCTCCATTCTTCGTCTTCCAGGCTCCCAAATACAGTGATCCTGGAAGGCACAACTTTCTCTCTGCCCTCTGAGAGTCCTCGGCTGGGCCTGAGAATTAAATCGCTATCAGATAATTACCAAGATAGGAGTATACAGATTTTAAATGGACATGGGAATTCACATAGGAAAATGAAGACCCAAAGAAGCAGTTAGAGTCAGATGCTTATATCCTAAGTTGGATGAAGAGGAGCACCTTGTGAAAACATGGCAAGACAAAGAGGCTTGGGCCAGAGCAGTTAATTGTAGAAAAGTGAAGAGACAGATAAGGTTAATTTAACAAAGTTTTTTGGTACGGATTTCTCTTGACCTTCACTCCCTATCTCTGGTGATAAGAATGTTTCTTCCTCCCAATACAGGGACAACAACTTTCCCCTGGAGATTTATCTCCTGCTTTTAGGAAGAAAAAGGAAGGTCAAAGTGCTCTTCTTGTATCTGCTATTTTTCAAGAGCCTTTACTTCAACATAATCCTTATGCCAAAGTGGCATGCTTTGAGGTTATATATTCTGCCACCCTTCTGTGATTCGGACAGAGCAGAGCTCACCAGGTATTGCAGGCTGGGGTGCCAGTCTGTTTGTGTTTGTGCAGCTTCCACAGGGGTACCCAGAAGCTGTCTATTTTCCTATTGGAAACTGACTTTGCCCAAGGGTATTATAACAGTAGAGCACATTAAAGATCAGCTGAAATGTCAACAAACTTTCAAAGAGGGCTATTAGCAATGAAAATGTGAGTTTCCAGCACTTGTGATAAGCACAATAAACAAAACTGTAAGGTCTTTTTTTTTTTTTTTTTTTTTTTTTTTTTGCCTCTCTATGTGTATAGCTTAAGCTGTGATGGAAAAGCCAGTTCTCACTGGACTAAGGATATAAGGACAATTCATCATATTTATCTGATGTGCTAGCCAACTGTATGAATTGCATTAATCCTAATGGCACAGTCACAGTTGAAAACAGTCTTCAGCTTGCAAAGTCAATTCCAGGTGAGTTACTGTGCCTCCCTTACTATACTTGGTAGTTAACTGCTTTCCGCAACCCATCCTGGTCTCTGGCGTGTGAAACACCCCCCAGGATTCTGCAGGGCTATCTACAGAACCAACTCATTGCAATGGATTCCCTTTCTCCCCAAGCCTTTGATGGGTAAAAGTTGGGATTTGACAAGAAAATGTCACTTGCATTTAGCTTCTGAGAGCAGGCTGGCTGGCCTTGTGCCCGAAGTAAATGCTGCTTTTCTTCTTTGTTATTAATACCAATTCAAATCATAGCCTCTTCTTATTTCTTATGGGCTGTGACCAGGTACTACCCATTCTACCTGGACCTCAATTCAATTCTCAGTCATGGGTGGAAGCCATTCTCCTCGAAGCTTCTTAGCAATCCATTCCTGGAATCCTACTTGGGTTTCCTGACCTGCAGCCCAGGGTCAACCTTCAAGGAGACCCCAACAGCTTCTCTGGCTTCCATCTGACCCAGCAGAGTGGTACGAAACCTCTCTGACCTTTCCATGCATTAGAATGCTGCTGAGGTCACTGAGTCTATTTCTTGCTAAATAACCAGGTTCCTTTTGAATTCGCTCATTCCGGGAGAACAACCAACTAGCCTGGGCTGTAATTTATTCCTAGCTGTGTTTCTAAGTTTCTTAAGACATCTTGAGCCAGTCAGGATTATAGCTTTGGAGAGAGGATTTTGTTCCTGCAATAAACCTAAAAAAAAAAAATATATATATATATATATACACACAGTTGATCCTTGAACAACACAGGTTTGAACTGTGTGAGTCCACTTATACATGGATTTTCTTCTGCCTCTTTCACCCCTGGGACAGCAAGACCAACCTCGTCTCTTCTTCCTCAGCCTACTCATTGTGAAGACAGGAAGGATGAAGACTTTCATGATGATCCATTTCTACTTAATGACTAGTAAATATATTTTTCTTTTCATTATGATTTTCTTTCTTTTTTCTTTTCTTTTTTTTTAGACGGAGTTTCGCTCTTATTGCCCAGGCTGGAGTGCAATGGTTCTTCTCGGCTCACTGCAACCTCCGCCTCTTGGGTTCAAGCGATTCTCCTGCCTCAGCCTCCTGAGTAGCTGGGATTACAGGCATCCACCACCACACCCAGCTAATTTTGTATTTTTAGTAGAGATGGGGTTTCTCCGTGTTGTTCAGGCTGGTCTCAAACTCCCAACCTCAGGTGATCCACCCGCCTCAGCCTCCCAAAGTGCTGGGATTACAGGTGTGGGCCACCGTGCTTGGCCATTATGATTTTCTTAATAACATTTTCTTTTGTGTAGCTTACTGTAAGATTACAATATATAATATACATAACATACAAAATATGTGGTAGTCGATTGTTTATGTTATGGGTAAGGTTTCCAGTCAACGGTAGGCTATTAGTGGTTAAAATTTTGGGGAGTCCAATGTTATATGCAGATTTTTGACTGTGCAGGACATAGCCCTAACCCCTGCATTGTCCAAGGGTCAACTGTATATATATACACACACACACATATATATATGTGTGTGTGTGTATATGTGTGTGTGTGTGTAAATATATATGTATATATACATACATATATGCTTGTGTGTATGAAAACAAGGTGATAATCATATGATATATATGGTTATAATCATCTTTGCAAAATGGGGCTTTTTTTTTTTCCTGGAATGGCTAGAATAAAATTTTATTTCATTTATTTTATTTTTATTTTATTAAAATAATTTTCTGGGTATACAATAGGTATATATACTTATGGGGGTACATGAGATGTTTTGATGCAGGCATGCAATGTGAAATAAGCACATCATGGAGAATGGGGAATCCATCCCCTCAAGTATTTATCCTTTGTGTTACAAACAATCCAATCACACTCTTTCAGTTATCTTAAAATGTACAATTCAGTCATTATTGACTATAGTCACTCTGTTGTGCTATCAAATAGTAGGTCTTATTCATTCTTTCTATTTTTTTCTACTCATTAACCATGCCCCCCTCCCCCTAGAATGAAATTTTAAGTTCACCATTGAGGATACTTAGAATTTAAAATAATTCTAATGTGTTCTGAATAAGCCATGACCAAATCTGCATATACATGGCTTTGAAAATAATTAATTTTTAAGGTATTTTTTTCTCCTCTTTCTAGATTGTGAGGTAAATTTTAAAAAAATTCTGTACAGAAATGGAATTTAACTTGGTTATTGGTAATTAGGCCAATAGAGACCATGTTTCCTTTGGAAGCCTAAATTATCTACAGGGATTATGAAGATCAAATGAATCCAAGTTTATTTTTAAGGTAAATAAATCATTTTAAAAAAATGAAAGCCAGGCATCCATTTTGCATTGTGAGGAGTTCTTGGGGCTCAGAAAATACTCCTCCAAAAATATGGCTCTTTGGCATGCTTTGAATTAAAGGAAATTAAAGGCATCAGAAATAAGCCTCAGAACCAAGGTCTCTCCAGTGTTCCCTCCCAAGCCCCACTCTGATCTCTTTTCTTTCCTGAAGCATTGGGAGCTACTCTTGCTGGAATTTTATTTTTTGTTTTTTTAGAGACAGGGTCTTTCTCTGTCACCCAGGCTGGAGTGCAGTTGAGCGATCATAGCTCACTGCAGCCTCTCTACCTCCCTGGCTTAAGCAATTCTTCCCACCTCAGCCTCCTGAGAACCTGGGACCACAGGCATGCACTACAATGCCCAACTAATTTTTTTTTTTTTTTTTTTTTTTTGTAGAGACAGGGTCTCCCTATGTTGGCCAGGGTGGTCTTGAACTCCTGGGCTCAAGCAATCCTCCCGCCTCAGCCTCCCAAAGTGCTGGGATTACAGGTGTGAGCCACTGTACCAGAACCGGAATTTCCTTATCTGACTAGGAAAACCCTTTAAAAGGAAATGCAATTGTCTTAAGACCTCCTCCCTAGGAATCTCATCAAACAACCAGGAAAGATTAACCACTGGAGAAGAGGAGACACTGGGAGTCTCCACTGCACCCAGAAAGACTTTTCATCTATTCTTCTCAAGACAGCTCCAAGAGATTACCTGGGAGGCTTTATCTGCATAATAAGATAACCTTTGATTACAGTGAAGCTCAACCACTCACCTTCCCTCCACCTGTCCTAGAGCTCAGAGGAACTTTGTCCCAGACCACCGTGCTTTGGGCTTATTCATTTCCCCTGTAAGTCATTTATCCCTACACTCCTCATCAACCCTGTCCCTGTGAAGAAGGGTATACAAATAAGTGTCAGGACCTCACTGGATTATTGGGTCATTCTCCTCCTGTGATTCCCCTGTCCCTAAGCATGTTAATTACCTTCTCTATGTCCTTTCCTCCTATTAATCCCCCTCTTGTCATTTACTCATTTTCAGCTAACCTTTAGAGGGTGAAGGGGGAGCTTCCCATTTGCCTCTACAGATTCAACATGCTTCTTTGTAAATCTAGAGACCCAGACGGACTGAGAATATCCCACTGTGGCCTTGGCTTGTCCTGGTCTCACAGCTATTCCTTCTCACGTACTCTTCTGCTTGACTTCAGCGACTATTTCTCGCCAAGAAAATGCAAATCGCTCATGTGAGGGCAGCTGATCAACAGCACAATTCCACCCTCTTTGGAGAACCATCCTCGACCAACTATTCCTGAAACTAGCTGAAATTTGGACCCACTTCTGCTAAAGTTTTGTGTAAAACCTTCTGTCATGCTTATGTTAGTGGTACTCTGGTTTATTTTCTTCCATATAAACCAAGCTATCTGGTTTATTTTGGGGGAATATCTTGGTATTTAACTTCCTGCTTATTCTTGGTCTGCAGTCTACCCCATGTCATTGTCCCTTGGGTTTTCACTTATACACTTGGCTTTCTGTCCATGATTTAAGTAAACAAAAAAAAAGTAAACATGGCAGCACAATGTTAATAGGCATGTCTACCTGCTGCTCTCCCAAGCCCAGCCTTTTCACACTGAAGTCATGCTAGGAGCTAGATGTGTTTGTCTTGCTGTATTTTGAAGAAAGTGGCCTTCCTTAGAAGAAGTCAAGAATGAAGTTTCCAGACCTCAGTTGCTACGTGTTTGGGTAGTGTATTTCAGGGGTGAATTAAGAAAAGTGGGGAGACCAGCCTGACCAACATGGTGAAACCCCATCTCTACTAAAAATACAAAAATCAGCCGAGCATGGTGGCGCGCATCTGTAATCCCAGCTACTTAGGAGGCTGAGGCAGGAGAATAGCTTGAACCTGGGAGGCGGAGGTTGCCATGAGCCGAGATGGCACCACCGCACTCCAGCCTGGGGCGACAGAGTAAGACTCTGTCTCAAAAAAAAAAAAAAAAGAAAAAGAAAAAAAAAGAAAAGAAAAGAGAAGTAAGTGGGGAATGCGAAGAATGGTTTCCAGGGAGTGCAACCAAGGCACCTAGGTGAAAGAAGTCAATAAAATTATTTTATTTTATTTTATTTTACCATCTTCTGGAGTCTGAGCATGTTTGTGATTAGTTATATATATATATATATAAAGGCTTTTGTTTGCTTGCTTTTCCTGATAACAGACTATGCCTGACTGCCCTTCGAGGTGTTGTAGGCATGATGACAGGGTTACATAAATAACTCATTTCTCTTTTTTGTTGTTCTCATGATAATCAGCACATTTCCTTCTACTGTCCCAAATAAAAAGCTTTTTGAGTCTTCAACCATATACTTGATCCTTTTAAATCACAAATTTACTTTGCTTTACCGCTTTCCTGCTTCGTACTGCAAATGATGGATAATTCAGATACGAATATACAAAGATGAAAAATTATTGCATTTTAGACTTGAAAAGATCCGGGAAACTTAATTAACTCTCTTTTTTCTTTTCTTCTTAATTATTCCAAATTGATTTTAAAAAAATCACATCTTCCTCTATTATTTCCTAGAAGTTTAAATTTTATGTTAAAATTATATCAATATTTATACCCATCACATTTCATAGATTGAAATCATTCAGTTGCAAATAATATAAAATTTTTGTAAAATATTTGCTATGATCTTATCAAAAGAAAGAGTAGTAAAACCATTACAAAACACTTTCCTAGAAGACATAATTTTTCTCCAATTGATTTGTTTAGCAATTTGGATATAATTCTATACAGGCAATTGAAGCTATGCAATGCAGAAAAAATATTATGCATCCACCTTAATATATTTTTTTCTGTGTATTTCAAGAAACTGTGCCTGGGAGCATCAAACCTTAAATTATTCTGTAATTGGCAGGCAGCAAATAGCAATTTCTAGTTCTAAGCAGTGCCAAGCCCAAACAGAAGATTTTTATAATGGCTGTGCCTAAAAAAAGTGTAGCTAGAAGGATTATCTACAAAGTGAGGTATAAACATAACTCAGCCAACATTGGGGAGAGAAAGGAGGAAAAATAATTTGTTATTGTCAAAGTATTTCACTTTGTAAAATAGCTGTGTATCCATCCCTACAACCCTTTAAGTGTTCTGGCCTATTACAAATAATTACTTGGAATGGATGCTTAAGGAAAATTCCAAGCACATTTAAAACAATGGCAGACTAGAAAAGTAATTACCGATTTTAATTTTCCCCATTATGTATAACAGTTGACTGTAAAAATACTGGCGAAACAGACACACTTGTCAATTTCCCTCAGCTTGTAAACATGGGCATATGTCTCTTAACATTATTTTCTTTTCAGTTAGGATTTTTAAAAAATCTTGCCCACAATACAGGCAGATGGTCTTGTGAGAAGCAGGAAATGCTGCCTCCTTTGTGTGCTACCATTTTCACTCCCTTTGAATTGTTTTAAAATAATATTTCTCCTTACTGCATCTTGAACATCTTGGGACATCAGGAGTCAATGTGGAGTAACCATGCTATTTATGTTTTAAAAGACGGTATTTATTTAACATGAATGTACATGGCTTGGACAGAACAGATATGGGCAGTAGAAAAACACGTAATACTTTTATATTAATATTTGTTAAAAATAAAGTTCTTATGCTGATCTGATTTTCTAAATTGTAGGAAGAATAAAAAATGAGACACCAGTAGGCTAGATCTTCCATTGAATAGAAGATCGATTAGCATCTAGAAATGAAAGGTAGGACTTCTACAAATTATGCTGCATGGAGATTGATAGACTGGGAAACTTCCCCATTGAGGATGGCATCATTTCAGAAAAGCATTCATTTGAACCACTCATAATGTGTTTGTTGATATACTGGGGTACAGTTGAACGATGGAGATGCTAGCTAGAGTACCTTCCACTTATTGAACTGCTGGGGAGAGACTTCTGTTGGTGTATGTGTCACATGTCTATTCTTGGTGATTTTTGTTCAATATTATGAGCAAGGACTTGTAAGAGTAAGCAGACTCATGAAATTTTCAGATGAACCAAACTTAGAGGCTTTTTTTTTTTTTTTTTTTTTTTTTTTTTTTTGAGACGGGGTCTCACTTTGTTGCTCAGGCTGGAGTGCAGTGAGTGACATTATCTCAGCTCACTGCAACCTCTGTCTCCTGGGCGATTCTCCTGGCTCAGCCTCCCAAGTAGTTGGGATTACAAGCCTGTGCCACCACGCCCAGATAATGTTTCTATTTTTAGTAGAGACGGGGCTTCACCATGTTGGCCAGGCTGGTCTTGAACTCCTGGCCTCTAGTGATCTGCCCACCTCAGCTTCCCAAAGTACTGGGATTTACAAGCGTGAGCGACTTCGCCCGGCCCAGATTTAGAGGTTTTTATACAGCTTTCAGAGTGAGATTAATATGCTTTAAATAGATTAGAATAATAAAAACAACACCACATAATACAATAGGATTAAGTGAAAAAAATTGTTGGTTTAAATTCAAGGTATAGAATAGAGATTTATAACTGGACATCATTTCATGTAAAAATCATTAGAAAACTTTACACAAAAATGCCGTGTGTGCCAACAGTAAAATAAATAAAGTTACATGAAAAGTTAATCTACCATCAGCAA